>NC_000012.12:47308612-47460128 GCF_000001405.40 Homo sapiens
ACTCAAATAAGACTGCTCCAAGGCATATAATAAACTCCCAAAGGTGAAGGACAAAGAGGATCCTAAAGGCAGCAAGAGAAAAGCAAGTAACATATAAAGGATTTCCAATTCATCTGGCAATAAACTTCTCAATGGAAACCATACAGGCCAGGAGGGAGTAGGATAACATTTTCAAAGAAGTACTGAAAGAAAAAAACTACCATTCAAGAATAGTGTCCAGCAAGGGTATTCTTCACCTGTGAAGGAGAGATAAAGTCGTTCCCAGATAAGCAAAAGGGAAGAGAATTCACCACCACCAGACCTGTCATACAAAAAATGCTAAAGGGAGTTCTTCAATCAATCTAAAAGCAAAATGTGCAATAAAAAGAGAAAAAAGAAAAGAAAAAAGAAAGAAAAACTAAAGAAAGAAAAAAAGAAGAAATAAAATATTTGAAGGTGTAAAACCCACTGGTAAAATTAAGTAAGTAGACAAACCCAGAATACTCTTACACTGTAATTGTGGAGTGCAATCCACTCATAACTCTAGTATGAAGCCCAAAAGATGCATCTACCAAAACAATAATAGCTACATTAACCTGTTAAAATATAGGCAATATAAACAGAGGCAAATTAAGACAAAAGTCAAAATGTGAGAGTAAGGAAGTTGTAGATTTTTTTTTTTTTGCTTTTGCTTTGTGTGTTTCCATTCTTTTCTTTGTGGTCTAAGATAAGTTGTTATCTCCTTAAAATAATTTGTTTTATCTATAAAATGTTTTTCATAAGCCTCATGGTAACCCCAATGCAAAAACCTATAATAGATTCACTAAAAGTTAAAAGCAACAAATTAAAACTTACTACCAGAGAAAGTCACTTAACCACAAAGAGAGACAGTAAAAAAGCAAGAAGGAAGGGAGGAATTACAAAATAATCAGAAAACAACAAAATAGCAGCAGTGAGTCCTTATCAATAACACTGAATGTAAATTCACTGAATTCTCCAATTAAAAGGCATAGAGTGGATGAATGAATAAAGAAACGAGACTCAACTATATAATGCCTACAGGAAACCCATTCCACCTAAAAAGACATACAGACTGGCTGGGCATGCTGGCTCAGGCCTGTAATCCCAGCACTTTGGGAGGCCGAGATGGGTAGATCCCTTGAGGTCAGGAGTTCGAGACCAGCCTGGCCAACACGGTGAAGCCCTGTCTCTACTAAAAAAATACAAAATTAGCTGGGTGTGGTGGCAGGAGCCTGCAATCCCAGCTACTAGGGAGGCTGAGGCAGGAGAATCGCTTGAACCTGGGGGGTGGAGGTTGCAGTGAGTCAAGATCATGCCACTGTACTCCAGCCCGGACAACAGTGCAAGACCCTGTCTCAAAACAAAAACAAAAACATACAGACTGAAAGTGAAGGGGTGAAAAGATATTTCATACCACTGGAAGCCAAAACAAAGCAGGAGTAGCCGTACTTAGATAAAATAGACTACAAATCAAAGACTGCAAAAAGAGACAAAGAAGGTCACTAAATAATAATAAAGGGGTGAATTCAGCAAGAAAATATAACAATTATAAATATCTATGCACGCAACACTAGGGCCCCTAAGTATATAAAGCAAACATTAATAGAGCTAAAGGAAAAGATGGATTGAAATACACTAATAGCAAGGGACTTTAACACTCTACTCTCAGGAAACCGACAGATTATCCTGACAGAAAATTAACAAAGAAACTTTGGAGTTGAACTACACAGCACAGTAGACCGGATAGGTATGACAATTACAGAACATTTCACTCAAATCCTGCAGAATACACATTCTTTTCATTAGTATATGGAACATTCTCCTGAATAGATTATATCTTAGGCCACAAAAAAGGTCTGAATACATTCAAAAAAGTAGAAATTACATCATGTATCAAATGGTTTTTTCTGACCACAGTGGAATAAACCTAGAGATCAATAACAAGAGGAACCTCTAAATCTTCCCAAACACATGGAAATTAAACAACATGCTCCTGAACCACCAATGGGTCAATGAAGAAATTAAGAAGAAAATTTTAAAATTTCTTGAAAAGAATAAAAATGGAAATACAATATACCAAAATCTATGGGATACAGCAAAAGCAGTAGTAAGAGGGAAATTTATAGCAATAAATGCCTATATCAAAAAGCAGAAAGAAATATAAAATTAAATATAAATAATTTTTATTCAAAAAAGTAGAAATACTTCAAATAAACATAAAGGAATTAGGAAAGCAAAAACAAAACAGACCCAAAATACACAGAAGGAAAGTAAAAAAGATCAGAGCAGAAATAAATGAACTTGAGACTAAAAAATACAGAATATCAAAGAAATAAAAAGTTGGTTTTTGGAAAAGATAAACAAAATCACAGTTTTAGTGGGTCAGGAATCAGGGCATGGCTTGACTGTGTCCTCCACTTCAGGGTCTCACAAGGATGCAATCAAGGTGTCAGCTGAGGTTAGACTGAGCAAGGATCCACTTCCAAGCTCAGGTAGTAGTTAACAAGATTCAGTAACTCATGGGATATTGGACTGAGGGCCTCAGTCTCTTGCTGGATATTGGTCTTGGACTGCCCTCTGCTCCTTGCCATGGGGCTTTCTCAACATGACCTTTGCTTTCTTAAAGTAAGCAAGAGGCCATGTGTGGTGGCTCATGCCTGTAATTCCAAAACTTTGGGAGGACAAAGTGAGAGGATCACTTGAGCCCAGGAGTTTGATACCAGCCTAAGTAACATAATGAGACTCTACAAAAAATAGAAAAAAATAGCCAGGGGCACACACCTGTGGTCCCAGCTACTTGGGAGGCTGAGGTGGAAGAATTGCTTGGGCCCAAGGGGTCAAGACTACAGTGAGCTGTGATCATGCCACTGCACTCCAGCCTGGACAAGAGATCAAGACCATCTCCCTCCCACTACCCAGAAAAGCTAGCAAGAGTGAGCATCTCCAAGCAAGATGGGGTACAATTTTATGTTGCACAATCGTATCCCATCAGCTTTGCCATATTCTACTGGTTAGAAGCAATTAACAAGTCTCACCCACACTCAAGGGGAGGGGATTTACACAAGACATGAATAGCATAAGGTGGGTGTATTAGTCTGTTCTTACACGGCTGTAAAGGATTGCCTAAGACTGGGAAATTTGTAAAGAAAAGATGTTTAATTGGCTCACAGTGCCACGGGCTGTACAAGAAGCAAGGCTGAAGAAGCTTCAGGAAACTTTCAATCATGGCAGAAGGTGAAGGGGAAACTGGCAAGTCTTACATGACAGGAGCAGGACAAAGAGAGAGCGGGGAGGTGCCACACAGTTTTAAACAACCAAATCTTGCAAGAAATCACTCACTATCATGAGAACAGCAAGGGGGTAATCCACCCCCACGATCCAATCACCTCCCACCTGGCCCCTTCTCCAACACTGAGGATTACAATTCAAGATGAGATTTGGGCAGGCCACAGACCCAAATCATACCAGTGGGCATCATGGGGGCCCTCTTAGACTCTGCTGCATGTTTCATTTCACGATTATTTAATATAATTTTTCATATAATAATTTGTCATATAAAGGAGGCAGATATTTAAAAATTGATCTGCTCAGGGTGTCAGATGCACTAGGTACACCACTGCCCTTTATCCTACTTAATTTTTGTCATAATACTTGCCTGATTTATTGTATATTTTCATTATTTTATATAACATTTAATATATTTATATATTTTATTAATATATAATGAACAATAAAAGTTTATTAATATATGTTCATATTTCATAGTCTATATTATTTAACATTTATTATATATTTTATGTGTTATTCACCTTGTATGTTTATTTGTTCATTGTCATCTCCGCCTTATAACCTCCTTAAGGGCAGGACTTTTTCTGGTGTGTTCACTATATTCAGCACCTAGAGCATTGGCTGGCACATTAGAAGAACTCAATAAATATTTGATGGCTAACTATGTGTAATGTTCAGAAGTGTTAATATAGGAGACTAGATTGTAAACTCCCCACGTATTTTAAAATCTCATAGATTTTTAAATTAGGTTTTATATGAACCACCCTCTAGCCTTTTAGTTTTCCCCTAGCTTTACCTCCTCATTTCTAAATTTGTTTGTATTTCTAACCCTGTACTTTGTCAATGTGATACTAAAATAGCTGAATATAAAGTGAGATTTTGGTAAATGACCCATGATTTTTTTTTTAGTAATACCAAATGACAGTCCATCATAGCCAGTCTGTCTTCTGGCAGCCCTGATTTCTGAACTTTGCACATATTGGAGATTATTTTGCTTCTTTCTACCTACAGAACATGTAGGGGCCTGGGGATGTGGCAAGAATCTCACACCTCTTGGAAAGAGGAAGTGAAATTGGCCTTTTGCAACTTCATTTTAATAAAGGGCCTGAGTTAAAGTCTAATCCCAGCCGGCTGAGCCAGTGATAATGTAAGAGTGTGTGTGTGTGTGTGTGTGTGACCATTTTCCTTGGAGAATCCTGCTTCTTAGACTATAATCCTAGATATTATAAATGAATAAATAAATAAAGAACCATGAAACTCTGGTTGGCAGCGCAGGTTAATGATCTGATTGTGGCAAGAGAGGACCTTGAGTCTTATCAATTTTGTATGTTTGTACTGGGGGAGCTTGTAGGGAGGATAGGGTTGCAGCAAGTACTTGTGGAATATTGATGGATATTCAAGGCAAATATAGACCCAGGAATTATGAAGTAAGCACTTACAGGAATCCAAAAGCCCATAAATTAATGGACATCTCCAAAGCATTGTAATACCTTGATAGTATAAGAATCGTGCTCTCTAATAACTTAAAACATGGCCTTATTTTTGAAATCAAAACCTTCAGCATAAACACATGTCCCTTTTGTGCTTACATACCTTATGGCTGCCATTAGCTACAGCTCTTTATACATGGGGCACTGTATATTATTATTAAAACCATCCAGCAAAAAATGATCTCCTGTTGCAACTTTGAATGTACTTAGTGAAATAACTTTCCAGACCTCATAGAGCATTTGGAAATATTTTCCTTATATACAGAACTCTAACTACTAAGTACCATTCTTTCCCAAGGTCTTCAGAGTTCTTTTTTCTTTTCTTTTCTTTCTTCCTTTTTTTTTTTCTTTTTTGAGACAAGGTCTTGCTGCATCACCCAGGCTGGAGGGCAGTGGCATGACCATGACTCACTGCAGCCTCAACCTCCCAGGCTCAAGCAATCCTCCTGCCTTAGGCCTCCCAAGTAGCTGGGACTACAGGCGCATGCCACCACGCCTGGCTAGCTTTTTAATTTTTTTGTAGAGATGGTGTCTCACTATGTTACCCAGGCGGACAGAGTTCTTATTTCTAGGAATAATAACATGAATATTTACTCATTCATTAAAAGAGAAAGGTTTTACGCTTAATACTTTCGTTGTTCTGTTTTTTCTTAAGGTCAGCACCAGAGCTACTTAATAAATAATTGTGCTGTCCTGAAACCACTTTGGGGTAACTCAGCAGAGAACCCAGGCTGCCAACCCAGGGCAATATGAGTACAGTTCCTTCAGGCTGGGAGGGATCCTGGGCTTGTGGCCACCCTAGGGGCTGCATATTGTTGACTCAGGGAGAGCCATGCCTGCCTAAGGGTAGAAAGGGAAAGCCTGTAGCAAGCAGGAAGAGTTGATAGGTACTAAGATGGAGAACATTCATAATATAAAACCATTGTAACCACTTTTAAGTGCACAATTCAGTGACATTAAGTACATTCAAAATGTATGCAACCATTACCACTATCCATTTCCGGGACTCTTCCATCATTCCAAACTCCGTGCTCATTATACAGTAACTTTCCATTCACCCTGTCCCTCAGTCCCCGGTAACCTCTATCAAACTTTCTATCTCTATGAACTTGTCTATTCTAGGTACCCCATATAAGTGGAACCATATATTTGTCCCTTCTTGCCTGGCTTATTTCACTTAGCATGATGTTTTCAAGGTTCATCCATGTTATAGCACATGTCTGACTATTCATCATTTTAAAAATTCATCATTTTTAAGGATGAATATTTACATGACATTTTGTTTATCCATTCATCTGTCAAAGAGCAGTGAGGTTGTTTCCCATCTTTTGCCTACGGTGAGTAATGCTGCTATCAACACTGATGTTCAAGTATCTATTAAAATCTCTGTTTTCATTCTTTTGGGTGTATACCTAGGCAGATGAGGGTTTTGTTTTTGTTTTTGACCATCAGAGTTCCAACTGGTGCTACTTTTCCTTTTAAATACATTCTAGGTCTATTTGAGTTTTTTGTTTGTTTGTTTGTTTTTGTTTTGTTTTGTTTTGGGGGACAGGGTCTTCTTGCTGTGTCACCCAGACTGGAGTGCAGTGACACAGTGACATGATCACTGCAGCCTCAACCTCCCAGGCTCAAGTAATCCTCCCAACTCAACCTCCTGAGTAGCTGGGACTACAGGCATGAGCCACCGTGCCCAGTTGAGTTTTTAAAAAATTTTTGTAGAGAAGTGGTCTCCCTGTGTTGCCCAGGCTTCTATTTGTTACATAGTCATAACATCTTCCTACACCTTTTTTTCTGTCCCAAATAAGAATTACAGTGTGTTCATCAACTGGAGAAACAACTTCCCTATCTGGGTTTTCACCCAGAACTGCTCAGGTCCTCACAGCATCTGACAACAGCCAGTAGTTGAGTGTCTCTGCTTTCAAGAATTTCAAGGGTCAGGACCTCAGCCTGGGATTGGACCCCAAAAGTAAAGTAAACCATACTGCAATTTTGTGCAAAAAACAAAGATTAAGAGGACACAGGAAAGGGACAATATGAAAAATAATTTATTTTATTTTTATGACAAAAAGGAGTAGAGAAAATTAACATAGATGAAACATTTTTCCTTAAGCTTGTTTTAGTTTTGTTGATAAGATAGTAAGCAACAATGGGAATGGGAATTGACAAAGCCCAATTCATCTCTCATCTGATCCTTAACTGTACTGATGAGAGCATGTGTCTGATCCTAGAGAGGGAAGAGAAGAGTTTCCAGGGAGGGAAGCTGAGACATCTCTTATATATAAAATGGTTGCCCTAAAGAGACATGCATGGCTAAACTCAGGTGACATGGTAGAGACTGAGTTGTCTACCTAATATGTATTCTATTTTTATTTATTAAGCCTGACTGTGTTTGGAATGGCAATATACCTGTGGAGGCTAAAGCAACTCTATCTTGGTTGCTAATCATGTTGACAAAGCAAGGATGTGTCTTATTTATTTTTGTGCTCTTCTCACCCATCCCAGAGAGGAGAAAGTGTGGAGCACATAGTAAATCTTCAGAACATGTTTGATGTTGGATTGAATAATCTGCTTTATTTTATCATCTAATAACTCCTTAGTTAGATTAGACGGATGGCTGGTGAAAAAGTGTTTGGACTGATACTGTATTTATCTGCTCAGAATAAAAATATCTTACAAAAATCTATTATGTGTTTATGAAAGAAAGCCATCAAAATGTTAACAATAGTGGGATTGTCAAACTTCCAGATTTTCTGCACTTTACATATATAACTTTTGTAATTAAAAAATAGTTGATTTCCAGCCTGGCCAACATGCTGAACCCCCGTCTCTACTAAAAATACAAAAAATAGCAGGACGTGGTGGCACGAGCCTATAATCCCAGCTACTTGGGAGGCTGAGGCAGGAGAATCGCTTGAACCCAGGAGGCAGAGGTTGCAGTGAGCCGAGATTGTGCCACTGCACTCCAGCCTGGGTGACAGAGCAAGACACTGTTTCAAAAATAAATAAATAAATAAATAAATAAGGTTGATTTTAAAAATCTACTTAGAAAGCAGAGATTTAATTAAATATTATGGCTTTTCAATAATTTTTGTTGTGTACTATGCTCTCCCCAAACCAGTAGCCTAATAAAATTGAGTTTGAAAGTCCTCCATAAATTAACATGTTCTAATAATTCTATAAGAAAGAATGGAGATACAATATTTGATCTAGAAAGTGGATATCCAATGATCATCTGAGCAAGGAACACCATCCTCCTTAAAGTAAACAGCACACAGCTGTTTCCATCATGCTGACTGTAAGAAGATTATCATACTCAGAAAAGAAATTCCAGGAAACTGCGTTCCAATTAACATGGAAATGAATCCACAAAATAAATATGTATCCAGAGTTTATGCAATCCCAGGGTACAATGGAGACAGATGCAGATTGATCTAATCTGGTTGCATTAGGAATAAGAATGTTTGTTGGGGAACATTGTGTGGAAAGTTGACATTTGGTTCAATCAGGAAGGCCAAAGTAGAAATTATGAAAGCAATTTCCTTTGTCCAGTTAAATTAGGCATTCAAATAACAGGCTACTCTTTGACCTTCCTGGGAAAGGTCAGGATGGCATCGAATGGTCATTAAATAAATAGCAGGCCTGTTCTTGTAAATACTTTGTGAGACTTTAGGAAAACATATTCTGGATTGAAAATCAGCCAAAAAAGATCTGCAAGAATTTCTCTAACATATTTTTATTGCTTCTATTTATCCATTTTTAATTTGGAGAAATAGTAAGTACTGGTAAAAGCACAAGAACAAACTGAATATGGGGTCTATTGAACAAAATTAAGAGGTCACTTTTCTGCCACTTGCTAATATGTGCTGCAGCTGCTAAAAAAAGGAAGTTTTGTTGTTTGTTTGTTTTGGTTTTGGTTTTGGTTTTGAGACGGAGTTTCGCTCTTTTGCCCAGGCTGGAGTGCAATGGCGTGATCTCGCCTCACTGCCACCTCCTCCTCCCGGGTTCAATTGATTCTCCTGCCTCAGCCTCCCAAGTGGCTGGGATTATTGGCAGGTGCCACCATGCCTGGCTAATTTTTGTATTTTTAGTACAGACGGGGTTTCACCACGTTGGCCAGGCTGGTCTTGAACTCCTGTCCTCAGGTGACCTGCCCGCCTTGGCCTCCCGAAGTGCTGGGATTACAGGCGTGAGCCACCGCACCCAGCCAGAAAGAAGGTTTTTTGAAAAATAGCTCCTGTGGATGTCTCCCCAAGGCTCCACTTGATATAGCTAAGGAGAATTCCTGGCATGTATCATAAGATATATGGTTTCTTAATTAGATGGGTGACTTGCAGGACTAGAATTTAAGAACACTCTTCATGCTGCCTTAGGTTATAATTCCCAGCTTGCATTACAGCAATGGACATGCTGTTAATATTTTCTCCAACAGTCCAAACTGCAAGTATATGAAGTTAAATCAAATCTCTTTTCTTGTCCATTAAAGTTCAAGTTGCCATAATAAAAGCTGGCAAGTTGTTTTTATAAACACTAAATTAATAGAACAGATTTTGGCTGGGCACAGTGACTCATGCCTGTAATCCCAGCACTTTGGGAGGCTGATACAGGAGGATCACTCAAGTTCAGGAGTTCAAGACCAGCCTGGGCATCACAGGGAGACCTCGTCTCTATTAAAAATAAAAATAAAGACAACTAGCCTGGCTTGGTGGTGTGTGCCTGTGGTCCCAGCTACTTGGGAGGCTGAGGTGGGAGGATCCCTTGAGCCCAGGAGTTGCAGTGAGCTATGATTGCACCACTGCACTCCAGCCTGGGTAACAGAGCAAGACCTTGTCTCAGAAAACAAAACAAAAAATAAATAGAACAGATTTTAAAGTTATTTTTATATTATTCATACATCTTTTTTGCCCCTATCTTCTCATTCAGATTCAGATTTACCCAACATTTGCTATGTGTCAAGCTCCATGCTGGAGGATTTCATATTAAATTTACCATTATTTAGCCTTATAATTAGAGGTGGTTCAAAGACAAAGCCTGAATTAGGTGTTTTGATTCAAAATCATGGGTCCTTCAAAATATCAGTGGATTAGATTATTATCCTCGTGTAACTAAGATAATACAAGAAATATTTGGAGTCATATTTTAATGTGTTATCATTATTGTTATTGTAGAAGTAGTGTATATGCATCCATAATTTTTAAAATTTAAACAAAACGTAATTCCGTAAGTGAAAAGTAAAAGTTGTCCATCTTTTTCCTTCCCTACTCCCAGTTTTTCTCTACTGAAATACAGTACATTGTAAAAATGGCCATAATATTCTGTAGTTTCTCCCATTAAGAGGTAGAGTTGGCCGGGTGCTGTGGCTCACACCTGTAATACCAGCACTTTGGGAAGTCCAGCTGGGTGGATCACCTGAGGTCAGGAGTTCGAGACCAACCTGGCCAACATGGAGAAACCCTGTCTCTACTAAAAAATACAAAAATTAGTTAGGTGAGGTGGCATGCACCTGTAGTCCCAGCTACTCAGGAGGCTGAGGCAGGAGAATCGCTGGAACCCGGGAGGTGGAGGTTGCAGTGAGCCGAGATTTGCCACTGCACTCCAGCCTGGGCCACAGAGCAAGACTTCTTCTCACCAAAAAAAAAAAAAAAAAAAGGGTAGAGTCACCTTGAATCTGGGATGGCCTTGCCACATGCTTTGGTCAATAGAATACCACAGAACTGGCATTGAATGAGTTCCAAGCGTAGGCCCCAAGAGGCCTTGCAGCTTCCTATATTGTGTTCAAAGAGCACACTCTTTGAATAATGCCGTCACCATGTGACCACGCCCAGGATTGCCTGCTGGAAGGTGAGAAACCACATAAAGTACAGATGAGGGATCTCAGTTGAGACCCCTCAACCAGCCAAACCCCAGCCAACCTGGCCAGAACTGCTTGGATGAACCCAGCCTAACTTAATGGACTGAAGAATCATGAGATAAAAAAAAAAAAAAGGTTGTTATATTAAGCCACTAAGTTTTGGGGTAATTTGTTATGCAGCAGAAGCTAAATGATACAAGAGGTGACCATTTGAACAATTTCTGGCATTTGCAGACCATAAGGACACAAGAACAGCTATAACTCCATAGAATAATGAAATGATAAAGGAGAGAACCTGTACTATGAGCCTAACATGAACCTAGGGTAGGTAGAACTAGAAGACCATCATTAAGGAAATAAAAGGGAAGATGGAGAGAGTAGAGAGAGACAAAGTAAGGAAGGGGTTTTGGTTTTGTACAAACATGTAAATTCAAGCCTTCCTGCTTAAAAACTTCTCAGGCACAATACTTATGTGTTTGCTGTCAATCTAAGCAGATTTTTGTTGCCTCACCTTCTCAACTGGACAGAATTGCAGTGTGGATGGGCCTATTGTCTGGTTACCAGCAAAGAGAAATCTCATGATTGTGTTTGTAGGTTGAATTGGTATTATGTGGGTTGTGGCAGCTGCTGCCTGACTGACAGCTTCATCTCCTTCTGACCACCAAAGAGGACTGAGATGGCTCCAAGAAGGAGTAAGAGAGAAGTTGTCAACAACTTGGTGCAGAAAGGCAGGTGGAGCCAGTCTCTGCAGAGACCCTGGTAACTGAGCTCAGCTGGCATGTGCTGAGGAAATTCACAGTTGACCACTGCTCAGTACAGATGATGACTAAAGAAATGGCTCTCCCAGCAAAGGGAGAAAGATCCAGGCCAGTATACACTTAGTCTGTCACAGCGTCAGATCTGGAAATAGGGTAAGGGGAGAAAAGACTGTTTTGAGTATGTGATAGAACTCTGTAAGAGTATTTTTTAATGAGGAGAGCAAATGGGTAGTGAAGGGGAGAATTCAGAAATAAAACTCAGAAGACGAGCCCTCAGCAAAAGGGGTTTAACAACAATATAGGCTTAAATAGAAGGAAAACTCTCTGTGAGAGTTAGGACTACAAATGTTGCCATTCTTGGAACCAGCGCTTTGTACATAAATTGGTTTTCTTTTTCTCTCTAGAAGCTTTCGGGATCTTTTCTTTATATCTGGGGTTTTGAAATTTCAAAATGATTTGGCTTTTTGATGGACATGTTTTTCATTTATTTATTTATTATTATTATTATTTTGAGATGGAGTCTCGCTCTGTTGCCCAGGCTGGAGTGCAGGGGTGCGATCTCAGCTCACTGCAACCTCCGCCTCCTGGGTTCAAGAGTTTCTCCTGGTCCAGGCACAGTGGCTCACACCTGTAATCCCAGCACTTTGGCTGAGATGAGTGGATCACCTGAGGTCAGGAGTTTGAGACCAGTCTGGCCAGCATGGTGAAACCTCGTCCCTACTGAAAATACAAAAAAAATTTAGCTAGGCATGGTGGTGCACGCCTGTAATCCCAGCTACTTGGGAGGCTGAGGCAGGAGAATCACTGGAACCCAGGAGTGGGAGGTTGCAGTGAGCCAAGATCATGCCATTGTACTTCAGCCTGGGCCACAGAGCAAGACTCTGTCTCAAAAAAAAAAAAGTTTCTCCTGCCTCAGCCTCCCGAGTAGCTGGGACTACAGGTGCACACCATCATGCCAGGTTACCTTTTTTATTTTTTTGTAGAGATGGGGTTTTGTTGGCCAGGCTGGTCTCGGACTCCCGTCCTCAGGTGACCCACCCACCTCGGCCTTCCAAAGGGCTGGGATCACAGGCATGAGCTACCACATCCGGGTAGATGGACTCATTTTTCATTCATCTAGAGACATTTCCTTTATTTTGGGAAATTTTCCTTAATTGTTTCTTTAATCAATTTCCCCCACTATTTTCTCTGTTCATTCTCTCTGGAACTTCTATTATTCAGATGTTGAGCTCCTGTATTTTTGCTCTCTTATGTACATCTTTTGGTAGGACAAAAAGACTATTGCTCTACATTCTAGAAAATTTCCCTAATATTTTTTAGCTTTCTGACTTATTTATTTTCTCCTGCTTTTTGCTGTTGGAGAGTTTTCTTGAATTTTGGATGGTTCTATGCTGACTGCATGCTTGAACATGGTTCACCAACCAATGTCTGCCAGCCCCAACATTACATCATATCACCCTCCTGACCACTTTTCTTCATCTCTTGGAGTTCCAATTCCAAATCTTTATCCCTTGTTATAGAACACTGGCAATACCTGGCTTAAATCCTTTAGGCAAAATATTAGAAGATCCTTTTCTAGAAAAATAGAACCATCCCACGGTAAAGACCTACAGATACTGACATTTGAGGAACCTCCACAAAAGAGCTGACTTCTGCCTTCTAGACAGCCATTACGGAAAACAGTATAGAGGTTCCTCAAAAAACTACAAATAGAACTACCATATGATCCAGCAATCCCACTACTGGGTATTTATCCAAAGGAAAGGAAATCAGTATGTCAAAGAGATAGGCACTCCCATGTTTATTACAGCATTATTCACAATAACCAAGATATGGAATCAACCTCAGTGCCCAGCAACAAATGAGTGAATAAAGAAAATGCATGGCTCACGCCTGTAATCCTAGCACTTTGGGAGGCCAAGGCGGGCAGATCATGAGGTCAAGAGATCAAGACCATCCTGACCAACATGGTGAAACCCCGTCTCTACTAAAAATACAAAAATTAGCTGGGCATGGTGGTGCACGTCTGTAGTCCCAGCTACTCGGGAGGCTGAGGCAGAAGAATCACTCGAACCCGAGAGGCGGAGGTTGCAGTGAGCCGAGATCATGCCACTGCACTCCAGCCTGGAGACAGAGCGAGACTCCATCTCAAAAAGAAAAAAGAAAATGCAGTATATATACACAATGGAATATAAAAAAGAACAAAGCTATAAAAAAAGAACAAAGTTCTGTCATTTGAGGAAACATGGATGAGCCTGGAGGATATTATGTTAAGTGAAACAAGCCAGGAACAGGCACATAAATACAACATGTTCTCACTCATATACAGAAGCTAAAAAAGTTGATCTCATGGAAGTATAGAGTAGATTAGTGGTTACTAGAGGCTGGAAAGGGTAGAATGAGTGGAGAATAGCTAGAGGTTAGTTGATGGATGCAAAAGTACAGCTAGAAGGAATAAGTTCTAGTTTTCTATACCATTATAGCAGGACTATAATCACAACAATTTACTATATATTTTCAAGTAGCTAGAAGAGTAGATTTTAAATGTTCTCAACACAAAGAAATGATTAATGTTTGAGGTGATAGATATGCTAATTACCCTGATTTTATTATTACATATTTTATACTTGTATGGAAAATCACAGTGTACCCCATAAATATGTAAAATTATTAAGTGAAAATTAAAAATAATAATAAATTTTCAATGTTTAGATTTAAAACATTTACATTCTGTCCCTTAAACATACTTTGTCTATAGATTGATTCTGAAAACTAAAAACAGAATGTGTTAATATTATTCACAGGCTATGAATATATGAACATTATTCACTGAAGAATCAAATAATACTATTTGATTCGTTAAAAAATGAAATATAATTTCTCTGTCAACACACTTGAAGGGTCTATTTTTTCTTACACACTATAAATTGCTAGAAACACTGCAACATTTTAGTTTGATTTATATTTGGACCAATACTTTCTTATAAGATTTCTGTTTTTCTTAAAGCTTCTACAGTTGAATTTATTGGAGGAGTGGAGGGAGTTTCTATTCTCCAAAGGATATGTTTGCTAGAATATAGAAATCAAAATAGTAATAATAAAAAGATTCTGAGAATTAATGGTATAATTTCGAAGTTTTGTTCCCTCAAATCTCATGTTGAAATGTAATCCCCAATGCTGGAGGTGTGGCCTGGTGGGAGCTGTTTGAGTCATGGGGGTGGATCCTTCATAAATGGCTTGGTGCTCTCCCCATGGTAATGAGTGAGTTCTCACTCTGAGTTCACACAAGATCTGGTTGTTTAAAAGAGTGTGGTGCTGAGTGCGGTGGCTCACACCTGTAATCCCAACACTTTGGGAGGCTGAGGCGGGCGTATCACCTGAGGTCAGGAGTTCGAGACCAGCCTGGCCAACATGGTGAAACCTCCGTCTCTACTTAAAATACAAAAAATTAGGTGTGTGTGGTGGTGCACACCTGTAATCCCAGCTACTCAGGAGGCTGAGGCAGGAGAATTGCTTGAACCCTAGGCGGAGGTTGCAGTGAGCAGAGATTGCCCCATTGCACTCCAGACTGGGGGACAAGAGAGAGATTTCATTTCAAAAAAAAAAAAAAAAAAGAGTGTGGCAACTCCTACCACTTTTCTTTATAAATTACCCAGTCTCAGGTATTCCTTTATAGAAAAGCAAAATAAACTAACACAATTAATAACCTGTAAAATTTTTCAGGTATTTTTCTTATTTTCCTGTCTTGCTTCTTAGTGCAGCTTGATGAATGTTGAGTCGAAATTTGACCTTATATTCTCAACCTAATTCTCGAATATGTGTTTAACTCTGGGAAATATAAACTGTCAGGTTAAGATCTCCTAAAAACTTTAGGAAGAATGCTATAAGACAGAATGTCTTTGAGAATCAGTCTCTTTTTTTGATATGAAGCAAACAAAGTATTGAAAAACACAAAAGGGACAGTGCTTGAATGAGTCATAAAAATAAATTTTTCTGTGGGCATAACTCTTGTATGTACATCACGGAAATTACCCTAAATCATTGCTACTATCTTCTTGATGTCAACTCAGATGGTACTAATCTTTACAGAATTTTAAATAGAAGGCTTTAAGTAACACTTCAATGTTAAGGTAACAAAGGAGGGGAGAGAAAAACTAGCCTACTATGAACCATGCACATACACTGTCTTGGTAGTTTTATATGTGAGTATTATTCAATATAACGTGTATTATTAATTATATTATATTAGTATTTTATATTTAATATGCTGCTATATAACATATTTAGGTCAAGAAGAGGTGGCCCACCCTGCCTGAGAGTCAAAATCACCTCCCCCTCTGCCTTCCTTTTCTTAGTTATCATGGCATCTGACCCTCTTGCTGGCATGAGCCGCACTGTATAACTCTGCTTCCCGACACGCTGCCCCACAGCCTTCCACTGTTGTTAGTGTTCATTCTTCCTTCTGTTCTTTCTCAGCTCAGATTCTTAGATCCTTGAATCTGCCTTACTTCATCTCTTTTGAAAACTTCTAGCGCTGTTCTTGGATCCGATATTTAGCTTTCCTTTTGAATAAGTGAATGTTTTCTAAGGAGTCCCAATTCCCCTGACTTGAGCCCCAGATTATCATCACCAGAAGGGGTTCAATGTCAGCTAGATCAATGATTCTAGCCTGTAGCATTTCACAGAGACTCTGGAGTTATTAGAAGAGCCTTAGAACCCGTATGTATTTATAGGTATTTTTCCTTTCAGTGGGCAATGAAATTGACACCATTATAATGTGGTATTCATGATTTTTTGAAATTAAGAAGAGTTTTCATACTCTAAAAAACTGGGAACCACTGATTTACACCAGCCTCCACATTGAACAAATTAGAAAAAAATAAGCTCAGAAAGTTATTTGTTTTGTCCAAGGTCATACAGTGGGTTAGGATCTTATCAGCACTCAGATGTAAGGATCGAATTCTCAACCATCAACCCATTCCTCTTTCCAGTACCTTAACTCCCCAAATACTGTAATCCTCGCAGTTACATAGCAGCTCCCACAGACTTGGCTGCATGGGGGAGTAATGGGTCGCCATCTGACTCAGGCCGAATTGTGAGGAAGCAACTTCTCCCTCCACAGTAAATGTTGAGCTTTATTGAAAAGTATTACTAGGATGTGATAAACAAACAAATATCCTTAGAGAGTATACATATATTTTAAATAATCAACCCATCTTTCTTCAGAGAATCTTATCTTACCCCCCACCCCCTCCCCGTTGTAGGTAAGTAAGGAGCCCTAGATCCCAGCGGATCATTCATGAGACCCAGGGAAGGGGCCTACCTATAGGTTTCCCAGAAATGTGAGTCTCAGGCCTAAATTTCTTTGGGTATCAGGGATTTGGAATTGAAACTCCAAGAAATGAAGAAAAATGTTCAGAAAGGCAATGATGAAATGTGGCTGGCGGACTTTTTTTTTTAGACGGATTCTTGCTCTGTTGCCCAGGCTGGAGTGCAGTGCATCCTCTGCTTTCTGGGTTCTCGGCTCACTGCAACCTCCGCCTTCCGGGTTCAAGTGATTCTCCTGCCTCAGCCTCCCGAGCAGCTGGGATTACATGCACACACCACCACACCCCGCCAATTTTTGTATTTTTAATAGAAACAGGGTTTCACCATGTTGGCCAGGCTGGTCTTAAACTCCTGACCTCAAGTGATCTGGCGGACATTTTGAACTATAGGCCTACAGAGAAAGAGAATGAGAATGAGATAGGGAGAGAGAGAAAGAATGCACAAGAGAAAATGCATATGAGGGCCTTGTGTTTCCAGAGAGAAAGGGACAGAAAAAGCAAAGGAGAGAGGACACCCTGGAGAGCACCTTAGCTGCAACCTTTCTGGTTTCCAGTTCCTGTCATGGGGCCCTGCTTACCTTGGATTCCAGAAGCTTTCTGGATTCTAAAATAAGCTCTTTAGGCTGGGTACGGTGGCTCATGCCTGTAATCCCAGTGCTTTAGGAGGCTGAGGCAGGAGGATTACTTGAGCCCAGGAGTTCAAGACCAGCCTGGCCAACACAGCGAGACTCTGTACCAAAAATAAAAAACATTAGCCAGGTATGGTGGTGTGTGCCTGTGGTCCCAGCTACTTGGGAAGCCGGAGAGGGAGGATCACTGAAGCTCAGGATTTTGAGGCTACAGTGAACTGTGAGTGCGCCACTGCACTCCAGCCTGGGCGACAGCGAGACCCTGTCTCTGTAATTAAAAATAAAATAAGCTCTATACTTACGTTGATTTGAGTGGGATTTTGGTCTCTGTATCAGTGGTCAGCTCTGTGGAAACAAAGTCAGATCTCATGAATACGTCAGAGTTCCTACAGCTTGAGAGATGGTGATGCAAGACTATTTCATGCTGAGGTTGCCTCATTAGGAAAAAGGACAAGAGCACTTCAGCTGTAACAGGCACTGCCCCAACACACATCAGTGCTAATGACGGGTACTGGTTGGGCAGACAATTAAGATACAAGACTCTCAGTACACAGCAGAGTCTGTGGTCCAGCTACAGGACTGTGCAGAAACCTCATCTTAATCCCAAAGATTTCTGAATTTCATTGCTGTTCAGAAGAGGCCTCTCTCTAAGCACTTGAGAATAGGAATGAAAGCTCTATATAATCACTCTGGCATCCTTCATTTTAGTGAAAAAATGATTTTGAGATTTGTTTTGTACAAGATATTTAATATGAAACATCTAGTTCTAAGGAGATTTAGAAAAAGAGAAAAGTGCAATATGTATATATTATATATATTTTACATAGTGCACTTTGTATATATAAAATGCATATATAAGATGTACATATAATGTATATTATATATTATATGGATATATTCACCACACACATATGTATGCATGTTATTCTCAAGGGCAAGAAGTAAAAATAATAATAAATACTAATACTTTTTCAGTGTGGAAATAGAAGGAATCAGCAAAATCTTTCATTGTTGAAATAAAAAATAAAGGAGAGGCAAAGCAAGATTATAGTTTGACAGAAATGTGGAAGAAAGATATAAAACCAGAAGCTGCCCAGGTGTAGTGGCTCATGCCTGTAATCCCAGCCTTTTGGGAGGCCAAAGCAAGAGGATTGCTTGAGGCCAGGAATTCAAGACCAGCCGGGCAACATAGCAGGACTCCATCTCTAAAAAATAATTTAAAAAATTAGCTGGATGCGATGGCCCTTGCCTGTAGATCCAGTTACTTGGAAGGTCAAGGTGGGAGGATTGCTTGAGTCCAGGAGGTCAAGGTGCAGTAAGCCATGATCACACCACTGCACTCCAGCCTGGGGAATGGAGTGAGAGCATTTCAAAATAAAAAATAGACCAGGCATGGTCGCTCACGCCTGTAATCCCAGGACTTTGGGAAGCCAAGGTGGGTATGTCACCTGAGGTCAGGAGTTTGAGACCAGCCTGGCCAACATGACAAAACCCTGTCTCTACTAAAAATACAAAAATTAGCCGGGTGAGATGGCACACACCTATAATCCCAGTTACTCAAGAGGCTGAGGCAGGAGAATCGCTTGAACTCAGGAAGTGGAGGTTGCAGTGAACCAAGATCATGCCACTGCACTCCAGCCTGGGTGACAGAGAGAGACTCCATCTCAAAAAAACAAAACAAAACAAAACAAAAAACCTAATTAATTAATTTAAAAAAATAAAGGAAAAAGGGAGATTGTTAATAATGGCCAAAAATTCTTAAAAGAAGAGTTCTTCCTAATTCATCTACATGAGAAGAGATAACAGCCCCCCAAAAAGAAACAGGTGAACAGCATGATGCTATGATTGGAAACCTCAGAGGTACAACATTGTGGTTAAAATCTGCCCTTGGCTTTAAAAATATCAGGAAAATAAGCAAGGGAAATTGTGTGAAATAAGTTATTGATATTTTAAAAAGCAAATATATTGGAAACATTGAAATATCTTTAAAATGGCACCTCTATAACATACATCCTAAGTTGCTAAGAGAATTGGCTAATGGGTTTAAAGAAACTCTTACCATTATGTTCAGGGCACACTGGATGCATTATTTCAGAAAGTTGTCAAAGGAGGAAAAAAATAAGAAAAAATCAGCACATGGGGACCTAATTTCTTCTTATTCTCCTTCCTAAAAAAGACCTCCCAACTACATCAAGGCTGTTGAATGGATCTCTATTATTCTAGACATGCTAACTTGAAACTAGAGAGTCAGCACTTCTGTTTTCCACTCCCCTCACTTCCATTATTCCCCAAATCCTGGGTGATTTGGCTTCCCAGAATTGCTCAGATTTTGCTCCTTCTCATTGTAACAGTCATAGTCCAGGCTGCATCCCCAGCTGATGGTGAGGAGTATTAAAATGTTAAGGATTGAGCCCAGGAGTATGGCCTGGCACAAAGCATATCACCATAATATTTTTTTTCTTCAACTTGTATTTTAAGTTCAGGGGTACACGTGCAGGATGTGCAGGTTTGTTACACAGGTAAATGTATGCCATGGTGGTTTGCTGCACAGATCATCCCATCACCTGGGTATTAAGCCCAACATCCATTAGCTATTTTTCCTGATGCTCCTCCAACCACACCCTGCTCTGAGAGGCCCCAGAATGTGTCGTTCCCTTCCATGTGTTCTCATAATTCAACTCCCGCTTGTAAGTGAGAACACATGGTGTTTGGTTTACCCTTCCTGTGTTAGTATGCTGAAGATAATGATTTCCAACTCCAACCATGTGCCTGCAAAGGACACGATCTCATTCCTTTTTATGGCTGCATAGTAGTCCATGGTGTACACTATAATATTTAAATAATGCACTTTATTGTGAATTATTTATATATTACAGAGAATTTTTTAATTAAGGTTTTTCTGAGACAGGGTCTCCCTCTGTTGCCCAGGCTGGAGTGCAGAGGCACAATGATGACTCACTGCAACCTCAACCTCCCAGGTTCAAGTGATCCTCTCACCTCAGCCTCCTCAGTAGCTAGGACCACAGGCATGAACCACCAGTCCTGCCTTTCCATGGAGATCTTTTATGTTGCTCTTTTATAACCACATCCTCTTGCCTCTCACCTACATCCCCTCCTTAACCCCTGGCAGCTACTAATCTGCTCCTTATTCTATAATTTTGTTATTTTAAGAATGTCATGCAAATGGAATCATACAATATGTAATTTTGAGATTGGCTCTAATCACTCAGCATAATTCTCTGAGATTCATCTAGGTTGTTGCATGTGTCAATAGTTTGTTCTTTTTTGTTGCTGAGCAGTATTTCTTGGTATGAATGTCCTACAGTTTGTTTAAACATGTACAGTTGAAGGCCATCTGATAGATTGCTTCTAGCTTGGGGCCATTGTGAATAAAATTGCTATAAACATTAATGCACAGGTCTTTGTGTGAACACAAGTTTTCATTACTCTGGAAAAAATGCCTGACAGTGTAATTTCTGAGTCATATAGTAGTTGCATGTCTAGTTTTTTAAGAAGCTGCCAAAATGTTTTCTGGACTCTACCATTTTACATTCCAAACAGCGAAGTATGAATAATCTAGTTTCTCTTCATCCTCTCCAGCAATTGCTGCTATCATGATTTTTTAATTTTAGCCGTTCTAACAGGTACATAGTGGTATCTCATTATGGTTTTAATTTGCATTTCCTTGGTGGCTAATGATGTTGAACATCATTTCATTTGCTTATTTGCCATGTGTGTATCCTCTTCAATGAAATGCCTCTTCATGTCTTTTGCCTGCTTTCTAATTGGATTGTTTGTTTTTTTAATGTAGAGTTGTAAGATTTCTTAATAGTGTAGACATTAATGCTAATATTAGGACTGTGTGGTTTTGCAAAGGTTTTCTCCAGTCGCCTGTCTTATCAACTTTTTAACTGGATCTTTTGCATAGAAAGTTGTTTTTTTTGGAGACGGAGTCTCACTCTGTCACCCAGGCTGGAGTGCAGTGGTATTATCTCGGCTCACTGCATCCTCTGCCTCCGGGGTTCAAGCGATTCTCCTGCCTAGCCTCCTGAGTAGTTGGGATTACAGGCGCGCACCACCACACCTGCCTAATTTTTGTATTTTTAGTAGAGACAGCGTTTCACCATGTTGGTCAGGCTAGTCTCAAACTCCTGACCTTGTGATCTGCCCGCCTCAGCCTCCCAAGGTGCTGGGATTACAGGTGTGAGCCACCACGCCCGACCGGAAAGTTTTTAATTGTGATGAATTCTAATTTATCAGTTTTCCCTTGTATTGATTATGTTTTTGTGTCAAGTCTATGAACTTTTGCCTAGTCCAAGATCCCGAATATTTGATATGTTTTTGTTTTCAAAATTTTTTACAGTTTCAGGTTTTACATTTAAGGCAAGTGATCCATTTTGAATTACCTTTTTATTAAGATGTGACAGTTAGGTCAAGGTTTATGTTTTTGCCTTTGGATTATCTAATTACTCCAGCACCATCTGTTAAAAAGGCTGTATTTCCTCCATTGAATTGCTTTCGCACTTTGTTGAAAATCAGTTGGGCATATTTGTGTGGGTCTATTCCTTTTTCATGATCTATGTGTCTATCCTTCCATCAATGCCACACAGTCTTGATTAATGTAGCTACATAATAATTCTTGAAAACAGGAAGACTGATTATTCCCACTTCATTCTATTTTTTCAAAATATTTGAACTATCATGGTTCCTTTGCCTTTTTATATAAATTTTAGACTTATCTTCTCTATATCTGTAAAAAATTGTCCTGAGATTTTGATAGAAATCAGATTAAACCTATACATAAATTTGGAGAAAACTGACGTCTTTACTACATTGAGTTTTCCAGGAGCATGGTACATCTTTCTATTTATATAGATCTTTGATTTCTTTCAGCACTATTACATAACTTTTCATTTGCAAGTTTCCTATACATGAGTTACTAGGTTTACGCCTAGGTATTTTATTTTTTTCTGAACTACTATAAATGTTTTGTTTGTTTGTTTGTTTTGTGTTTTTTGAGACAGAGTCTCACTCTGTTACCCAGGCTGGAGTGCGGTGGTGTGATCTTGGCTCACTGCAGCCTTCCCCTTCTGAATTCAAGCAATTCTCCTGCCTCAGCCTCCCGAGTAGCTGGGACTACAGGCACGTGCCACCACGCCCAACTAATTTTTGTATTTTTAGTAGAGATGGGGTTTCACCATGTTGGCCAGACAGTCTTGATCTCCTGACATGGTGATCTGCCCACCTTGGTCTCCCAAAGTGCTGGGATTAGAGGCATGAGCCACTGTGCCCAACCAATGTTATTTTATTTTAAATTTTGGTGTACATGTGTTCTTTGGTAGTGCATAGAAATACAATGGTTACTATTTGTATGTTTATCTTGTATCCTGAGATGTCACTGAACTCATTTATTAGTTCTATGAATGTTTTTATATATTCCTTGGGATTTTCTATGTAAATAATTATGTTGTCTTCAAATATAAACAATTTTATTTATTCTGTTCCAATTTGCGTGTTTTTATCTTCTTTTCTTACCTAATTGCACAGTCTAGAACTTCCAGCACTATGCCAAATAAGAGTGGTGAGAGTGGACATATTTGCCTTGTTCCCAATCTTAGAAGGAATGCATTCAAACTTTGATTATTAAGTATGATGTTAGCTGCAGGGGTTTTGTGGATGCTCTTTATTAAGTTGAGGAAGTCTCCACCATTCCTGGTTTTCTAAGCGCTTTCGGTATTTGTTTTTACAATAAATGGGCGTTGAATTTTGTCAAATTTTTTTTCTGCATCAGTTGATACGAGCAGATAATTTTTTCTTTGTTAGCTTGTTAATATGATGGATTACACTGATTGACTTTCAGATGTTGACTTTGCACTACTCAGGCATAAATACGAATGAAATAATGGCATTTTCAGCAACCTGGATGGAACTGGAGACCATTATTCTAAGTGAAGTAACTCAAGAATGGAAAACCAGGCCAGGTCCAGTGGCTTACACCTGTAATCCCAGCACTTTGGGAGGCCGAGGCGGGCAGATCACAAGGTCAGGAGATCAAGACCATCCTGGCTAACACGGTGAAACCCCATCTCTACTAAAAATACAACAAATTAGCCTGGCATGGTGGCGGGCACCTGTAGTCCCAGCTACTTGGGAGGCTGAGGCAGGAGAATGGCGTGAACCCGGGAGGCGGAGCTTGCAGTGAGCCGAGATGGAGCCACTGCCCTCCAGCCTGGGCGACAGAGTGAGACTCCATCTCAAAAAAAAAAAAGAATGGAAAACCAAACATTGTATGTTCTCACTTATAAGTGGGAGCTAAACTATGAGGATGCAAAGGCATAAGAATGATACAATGGACTTTGGGGACTCAGGGGAAAGGGTGGGACGGGGGTGAGAGATAAAAGACTACACACTGGGTACAGTGTACACTGCTCTGGTGATGGGTGCACCAGAAACTCAGAAATCACCACTAAAAAACTTATTCATGTAAAAAAAATTAATTCACACAATTTATAAAAATAAATGAATAAATCTGTGAAATGTTAAAAAATGTTGAATTCTCCTTGCATCTTTGGAATAAACTCCACTTGGACATAATGTAGAATTCTTTTTCTATTTTGTTGAATTCTATTTGTTAATATTTTGTTAAGGACTTCTACATGTATATTAAAGAGGGATATTGGTCTGTGTTTTTCTTTTTTGGACTGTCCTATTCTGGATTTGGTATCAGAGCAATATTAGCTTCATAAAATGAATAGAGAAGTACCCTTTTCTCTTCTATTTCTGCAATAGATTGTATACAATTGGTGTTTGCTCTTCTTTAAATATTTGGTATAATTCTCCAGTGAAACCATCGGGTCTGGAGCTTTCTTTTCTGAAAGTTGTAAAATTACTAATTCAATTTCCTTAGGAGTCATGGGGTTTTTTGAATTATCTATTTCATATTGCATGAGTTGTGGTAGTTTGTGTTATTTGCAGAATTAGTTCATACCATCTAAGTTGTCAGATTAATGTGTATATAATTGTTTGTAGTGTTCACTTATTATTTTTTGATGTTTGCAGGATTTTTAGTGATATCGCCTGTTTCATTCCTGATATTAGTAATTTGTGTTTTCTTTCCTTGTTTTCTTTGTAAATCTTGCTACAGGTTTGTCAATTTTATTAATCTTTTGAAATAACCAGGTTTTTGTTTTGTTAACATTTTTGTTTTTCTGTGTTTAATTTCATTGATTTCTACTCTCATCTTCCTTATTGAGAGGTGACAGCGTGCTGGTAGTCCTCACAGCCCTCGCTCGCTCTCTGTGCCTCCTCTGCCTGGGCTACCACTTTGGCAGCACTTGAGGAGCCCTTCAGCCCACTGCTGCACTGTGGGAGCCCCTTTCTGGGCTGGCCAAGGCCGGAGCCTGCTCTCTCAGCTTGCAGGGAGGTGTGGAGGGAGAGACGCCAGTGGGAACCGGGGCTGCGCACCGCCCTTGCGGGCCAGCTGGAGTTCCGGGTGGGCATGGGCTTGGCGGGCCCTGCACTCTGAGCAGCTGGCCGGCCCTGTCGGCCCCGGGCAATGAGGGGCTTAGCACCTGGGCCAGTGGCTGCGGAGGGTGTACTGGGTCCCCCAGCAGTGCCAGCCCACCGGCGCTGCCCTCGATTTCTCACTGGGCCTTAGCTGCCCACGGGGCAGGGCTTGGGACCTGCAGGCTGCCATGCCTGAGCCTCCCACCTCCTCCATGGGCTCCCGTGAGGCCCGAGCCTCCCCGATGAGCGCTGCCCCCTGCTCCATGGCACCCAGTCCCATCGACCACCCAAAGGCTGAGGAGTGTGGGCACACTGCACGGGACTGGCAGGCAGCTCCACCTCCAGTCCTGGTGAGGGATCCACTGGGTGAAGCCAGCTGGGCACCTGAGTCTGGTGGGGACGTGGAGAACCTTTATGTCTAGCCCAGGGATTGTAAATACCCCAATCAGTACTTGGTATCTAGCTCAGGGTTTGTGAATGCACCAATGGACACTCTGTATCTAGCTACTCTGGTGGGGCCTTGGAGAACCTTTATGTCTAGCTCAGGGATTGTAAATATACCAATTGGCACTCTATCTAGCTCAAAGTTTGTAAACGCACCAATCAGCACCCTGTGTCTAGCTCAGGGTTTGTGAATGCACCAGTTGACACTGTATCTAGCTACTCTGGTGGGGCCTTGGAGAACCTTTGTGTCCACACTCTGTGTCTAGCTAATCTGGTGGGGAGGTGGAGAACCTTTTTGTCTAGCTCAGGGATTGTAAACGCACCAATCAGCGCCCTGTCAAAACAGACCACTCTGCTCTACCAATCAGCAGGATGTGGGTGGGGCCAGATAAGAGAATAAAAGCAGGCTGCCAGAGCCAGCAGTGGCAACCCGCTCAGGTCACCTTCCACACTGTGAAAGCTTTGTTCTTTCACTCTTTGCAATAAATCTTGCTACTGCTCACTCTTTGGGTCCACACTGCTTTTATGAGCTGTAACACTCACCATGAAAGTCTGCAGCCTCACTCCTGAGCCAGCGAGACCACGAGCCCACCGGGAGGAATGAACAACTCCAGACGCGCTGCCTTAAGAGCTGTAACACTCACCGCGAAGGTCTGCAGCTTCACACCTGAGCCAGCAAGACCACGAACCCACCAGAAGGAAGAAACTCTGAACACATCTGAACAGCAGAAGGAACAAACTCCAGACGCACCACCTTAAGAGCTGTAACACTCACCAGGAGGGTCTGTGGCTTCATTCTTGAAGTCAGTGAGACCAAGAACCCACCAATTCCGGACACATTATGTTTATTTTCTTCTTTATGTTTGCTTTGGGTTTATTTTGTATTTCTTTTTTTAGGTTCTTGAGGTAGAAGCTTAGATTATTGAGTGGAGACTTAACTTCTTTTCTAACGTAAGCATTTAGTCCTTAAATTTCTCCCTCAGCACTACTTTACTTGTGTCACACAGATTTTGATATGTTGCAGGCTCATTTTTATTTAGTGTAATTTTTTTTTTTTTGAGACAGAGTCTTGCTCTGTTGCCCAGGCTGGAGTGCAGTGGCATGATCTCAGCTCACTGCAAGCTCCGCCTGCCAGGTTCACGCCATTCTCCTGCCTCAGCCTCCCGAGTAGCTGGGACTACAGACGCCTGCCACCACACCCAGCTAATTTTTGTATTTTTAGTAGAGACGGGGTTTCACCATGTTAGCCAGGATGGTCTCGATCTCCTGACTTCGTGATCCACCCGCCTCAGCCTCCCAGAGTGCTGGGATTACAGGTGTGAGTCACTGCGCCCAGCCTAGTTTAATGTATTTTTAAATTTTAATATATTTTATCTCTGGCCCACATGTTATTTGTAAGTGTATTTAGTTTTCAAGTGTTTGGAGATTTTCCTGTTGTTTGTTTTTTAAAAAAAATACAGACAGGATCTTGCTATGTCACTCAGGTCTTGAACTCTTGGGCTCAAGCACTCCTCCCACCTTGAAATTGAAAATGTTGAATTGAAATTGAAAAAAAGTTTTCAATTTTTATAATTTGTTAAGATTGTTTTCTCACGATATCATTTTTCTTAATATATGTTTAGTGGCTGATATGGTTTGGCTGTGTCCCCACCCAAATATCATCTTGAATCATAGCTCCCACAATTCCCGTGTGTCATGTGAGGGACCCAGTGAGAGGTAATTGAATCATGGGGGCGGGTCTTTCCTGTGCTGTGCTCCTGATAGTGAATTAAATCTCATGAGATCTGATGGTTTTATAAAGGGGAGTTTCCCTGCACAAGTTCTGTTATTTCCTTCTTTCTTTTTTTTTTTTTTGAGAAAAAAAAAAGTGCTGGGATTACAAAGTGCTGGGATTACAGGCATGAGCCACTGCATCCGGCTGCTGTTATTCTTTCTTGCTGCCACCAACACTTTGGGAGGCCAAGGCAGGTGGATCCCCTGAGGTCAGGAGTTCAAGACCAGCCTGGCCAATATGGTGAAACCTCGTCTCTACTAAAAATACAAAAATTAACTGGGTATGGTGACCGGTGCCTGTAATCCCAGCTACTTGGGAGGCTAAGGTAGAAGAATTGCTTGAACCTGGGAGGCAGAGGTTGCAGTGAGCCAAGATCATGCCACTGCACTCCAGCCTGGGTGACACAGTGAGACTCCATCTCAAAAAAAAAAAAAGAAAAAGAAAAAGAAGTGCCTTTTGCCTTCTGCCATGATTGTGAGGCCTCCACAGCCACGTGGAACTGTAAATCCATTAAATTTCTTTTTCTTTATAAATCGCCCAGTCTTGGGTATGTCTTTATCAGCAGTGTGAAAATGGACTAATACAGAGGCCATTGAAGAGAACCTGTGTACTGCTGCTGTTTGGTATAGTGTTCTCTAAATGTCTATTTGATCTTGTTGGTTGATGGTGTTGTTGAGTCCTATATTCTTCCCGATCTTCTTTCTAGTTGTTAAGCCAATTGTTGAGAGGGGTAGGTTGAAGTCTCCAACTGTAATTGTGGATTTCTCTATTTTTTCTTTCAGTCTTATTGGTTTTGCTTCACATATTTTGAATCTCTGTTGTTTGGAGCATACACATTTAGGATTACTATGTCTTTTGGTGGACTGACCCTTTTATCATTATATAATATCCCTCTCTGTCTCTGGTAATTTTTTTTTTTCTAAAGCCTAGTGTACCTAATAATATGTCTACTCTTGCTTTTTAAAATTAATATTTACACAATATATTTTTCTATCCTTTTGCTTTCATCTTGCCTATATCATTGTATTTGAAGTGAGTTTCTTGTAGACAGCATATAGTTGGGTCATGTTTTATAATCCACTGTAACAATATCTTTTAATTGATATATTTAGACCATTTCCATTTACTGTAATTTTTTTGGTTTTGTTTTTTGTTTGATCTTTGTTTTCATTTGTCTTTCCTGTCTTTCTGAGAGTTACTCTTTTAGAATTCAATTTATATTTACCTATAGCATTTTTTAGTGTATGTATTTGTATAACCTTTTTATTTTTTGGTGTTTTAGGTGTGACATAATATATGCACAACTAATCACAGTCTATTGAAGTTTTCATTTTACCAATTTGAGTGAAGTATAGAAATTATGCCTCCCTTTACCCTCCCCTGCTTGTAATAGTCTTAGTAATTTTTCTATACACAATTAGGGTAATGTTATAGTACTTAGACAATATATAATTTTTTTTTTTGAGACAGAATCTCATTCTGTTGCCCAGGCTGGAGTGCAGTGGTGCGATCTCAGCTCACTGCAACCTCTGCTTCCAGGGTTTAAGTGATTCTCCAACCTCAGCCGCACGAGTAGCAGGGATTACAGGCATGCACCAGCATGCCTGGCTAATTTTTGTGTTTTTAGTAGAGATGGGGTCTCACCATGTTGGCCAAGCTGGTCTCAAACTCCTGACCTCAAGTGATCCACCCACCTTGGCCTCCTAAAGTGCTGGGATTACAGGTTTGAGCCACTGCACCCAGCCAATATTTAATTTTTGTTTCCAGCATCAAATATAAGTTAGAAAATTCAAGAGGAGAAGGGAAGTTTACTGTGTTTACCCACATTTTTGCTTTCCATGTTCTTTCCTTCTTCCTGATATTCCAAGATTTCTTCTTTTATTATTTGCTTTCTGCTTCGGGAACATCAGGTATTTTTTTAGGTCTTCTGGCAACAAATTCTTTTCATCTTTTTTCATCTGAGAATATATTGATTTCTTCTTCATTTCTGAGGGATGTTTTTGCTGGTTATAGGACTTGAGAATAGTTGTTTTCTTTCAGTAGCTGAAGAATATGCCACTTCCTTCTGGCCTCCATGGTTTCAGAAGAAAAATCACCTGTCATTTGAATTTTCCACTTAATAGGTAAGATGTCATTTCTCTTTTACTGTTTCCAAGGTATTTTGTTGTTGTTGTTTTTAGTCTTCAGAAGTTTGACTTTGTGTATGTCTTGTTGTGGATTTCTTTAGGTTAACCTTTTTGGAATTTGTTTAACTTACTGAATCTATAGGTTTATATCTTTTGTCAAATTTGTAGAACTTTTTGCCAATATTTCTTCGAGTATGCTTTCAGCCTTGCCTTCTTTCTCCTCTCCTCTCCTTCAGGGTCTTTTCTCATCACATGAATATGAGATCTTTTGTTATAGTTTCACAGGTCCCTGAGACTGTGTTTATTTGTTTATTTTCTCTTTCTTTTTAGGATTGGATAATTTCTATTTTTTTAACTTCAGTTTACTTAATATTTTCCCTGCTTCATCTATTCTGTCATTGGGCCCAACCAGAGAGTTTTAAAGTTTTGGTTACTGTATTTCTCAGTTCTAAAATTTTCATTTGATTCCTTTTTATGTCTTTTCTTTCTTTCCTGAAATGTTCTTTATTTTTTATTTATTTATTTATTTATTTTACTGATGCTGTCTTTTCATTTGTTTCAAGTGTGTTCATAATTGTTTGCTGATGCATTTTTATGAGTACTTTAAAATCTTTGTCAGATAATTCCAGTATCCTTGTCATCTCTCTGCTGGTGTCTATTGATTGTCTTTTTAAAAATTTATTTTGAGATCTTCCTTGTTCTTGATAAGTGTTTTTTTATTGAAATCTGGACATTTGGGGGTACTATAAGACTCTGGAGCTTATTTAACCTTCATTTTTTTTGGCTTCCTCTGACACTATTCTGGCAGGGGAAGGAAAGGGGACTACCTCATTACTGCCAAGTGAGGTTATCCAGATTTGCCAAATAACTTTGGTGGCTGCTGAGGTCCTTTCTTTTGGCTAGAGAGAGCAAGTTTTTGTTGGGGCTTTTTTGTTTGTTTGTTTGTTTGTTTGTTTACACCCATTGGCATTTTCAGGTTGCTACCTTCTTCAGCTCCAAGTCTGAGTTTTATGAGGGGTAAAGAAATAAGTGTATCCTCTTTGCCATTGGGTATAGGTGAGAATTCTGTTTCCTCATTAGGCCTCCATTGAGATCTCCCTGGCTGGTAGCATAGGGGTGCCTCACTATGTACCCTTACCAGAGTGCTGCTCCTTATGTACCCGCAGCTCCTTATATACTCCCGTTGTTACTATGGTGGAGATGTAGAAGGACCTCATTATGATTGGGTGGTGGTGAAACTCCTGACTCTCCACACTAGGCCTCCTCTGACTCCATCCCAGTGGGGATGGAGAAGGGTGCCTTATTACTATTAGATGAGGATGGGAATCCAGCTCCGCAGCTGATCTCCCCAACACTACATGAGAGAGGCTTCATTACCTCCATGCAATAAAAGTCTAGGCTCTCTACTCAGCCTTTTCTGATACCATGCTGATAAGGAAGTTTGGGCCCCTTTTTAAAGCTGCGCAAAGGTGGAAGTCTAGGCTCCTCATTCAGCCTTTGCTGGCATAGGTGGGAATGGGACCAGGGATTTTTCTGTGGTGTTTGTCTAGTGTAGAGCAGCTATTATCTCGAAGGTCTTTTGTCTTGCTAGGGTGTTCCTTTCCTGGTCCTTTCTCTCTCTCTCTCTCTCTCTCTCTCTCTCTCTCTCTAGACAGGGTCTTGCTGTGTTGTCCAGGCTAGTCTTGAATCCCTGGCCTCAAGCAATCCTCCTGCCATGGCCCTCCAAAGTGCTGGGATTATAGGTGTTGAGCTGTCCGGCCCAGCCTGGTCCTTTCTTTTGGCTAGAGAGAGCAAGTTTTTGTTGGGGCTTTTTTGTTTGTTTCTTTGTTTGTTTACACCCATTGGCATTTTCAGGTTGCTACCTTCTTCAACTCCAAGTCTGAGTTGTATGAGGGGAAAACAAAAAACCAGGGAGCTTACCAACATATTGTTTCTTCGATTCTGAGGTCCCTAGTCAGTCTACCTTCTTATCTCACCTTTTAGAGTTTCCCTGTGTTTGATTTATGTATGCTGGACAGGGTTTTCTTTTGTACTTAGTAGGAGGAATAAGGAAAGTACATCTATTCTGCCTTCCTACATGTGGAAGTCTTCACAGAGCATTTTAATACAGGTAATAACAGCATCTTCCTCACAGATACCTCAAAGGACTATTGTGACAGTTAAGTAAGTTAATTGGACCATTGGAATAGTATCTGGCATGTAGTAAGCCTTACACAAGTGTTAGTTCTTCTTATTATTAGATAAACAATATAATGTGGTTGTTGAGGGAACAGATTCTGGAACCGGACTGCCAAGGTTTAAATCTCAGCTCTTACACTTAACAATTGTGTTATTTTTACTTAATTTCTCTATGCCTAAACTTTCTCATTGTAAATGGTGATAATAATTTCTTCTTCACAGGGTTATGGTGAGAATTAAAATAATTAATATATCTAAAGCACTTAGAAGATTGCCTGACATAGAATAAGTTCTATTTAAGTATTAGATATTATTATTATTATCATTATTATTAGGTATTATTATTTTAAACTAAAGTAGTTTATTTTCTCCTCAAAATACCCCCATGAAGTAAGTCGCAAGGCATCATTATCTTCATTTACAAACAGAGAAATAGAAGTTCTGAGGCACACAGTGCCCTGCCCAAGGTTATAGAGAAAATAAGTGGCAAATTCAGCCTCAGTCACAGTTCTTCTGGCTTCAAGTCAACACTGAGCTGAGGTTTGGCAAAAGTGCAAGGTGAAAATTGGTATTCATGCTTAGAGAATGAGGTGAGGGCTTAGATGGCAAACAGGCAAGAACAGAAATTGTTCCTAAGACAGCACGACAGAAAGACGACCTGAAGAAGATGGAGAGAGTGTGGCAAGAATGTAGTTGTTGGGCTAAGTCTGAGTCGAGATACTGACGTTAAAGAAATCACCAAGATTATTTCCAGTGAGAGATTTCCGCCCCAAAATGCATTCCGTCAGTGTCTCCTATTCACAGGGTAGTGAAGGGTGTCCTGATAGCTTGCCACTTCTCCCCGCAGGGTGGTTTTTCTGCTGTTAATAGCTCAAGAGCCTAGTTCCAAGAAACAGCAGAGGCTGCACCTTCTTTAGTTCAGAATGCCCCCAAGTCTGACTCTCAATAGAGAGGCTTCCTCCCTAAGATATTCCTACTGTTGCCCCCTACACCCTGCCAGCTTTCTGCACACTTCTGAGCCTGTCCAAGTTCAGCATGTGCCTCAGGGCTACATCAAGTGCCACCAAGCTTTCCTTGAGACACCAGCCCAGACTGAGCTTGACCCTCCCTCAATCCTGAGCATTAACCATGTCTACCATGTTTAAAGTTACATCTAATTGATTAGGCACCATATAATATCTAATTTTATGTATCTCCTGATATGTTTCATATGGGTAAGTTCTGTATTACCAGCAAGACCATGGCTCTTAAGGCAAGGTTTGCCTTATACAGTTTTTTGGGGCTGGAATAACAGCATTTGACAGAACATGATACTACCGTATGTAGTGCATCAATTAATACTTGTTAACTCTCAAACATAGGGTCACAGCCAAGCAGAGCTGCTACTATGTGGGATATATAGGGCCCCTGGAAAATTGTTTATTGTTATTTAATTTTTATTTCATAATTAATAAACTTAACTGTGCAATCCAGCTAGATGTGAAGGGGATAGGAAAAATATAGAACCCAAAGAACTGCAGTGAGAGCACAAAGATTATAGGATATTGCAAGTAAATGGGGTGGAAGGGTGCTTTCCTGAGCTACAGAAAAAATGGTCTGGTGGTTAAGATAAAACAAGTCAAATTTACTAGCATTTCCCACAATTGGCAATGGTGATATTCTTGCTGGTCTTGCCATTCCTGGATCCAAAGTGCTCCATGGTTTCCACAATATTCATGCCCTCTTTTATCTTCCCAAAGACAACAGGCTTGCTATGTAACCACTCAGTCTTGGCCGTGCAGATGAAAAACTGGGAATTGTTTGTGCTGAGTCCTGCATTTACCATGAACATCACGCCAGGACCTGTATGCTTCAGGATGAGATTCTCATCATCAAATTTCTCTCTGTAGATAAGCTTGTCACCAACGCCATAATGGCATGAAGTCACCACCCTAGCACGTAAGGCCTGGAATAATTCTGTAAAAGTAAGAACCCATATAACAAAATCCTCTCTCGCCAGCTCTCAAGTACAAAATTTTCTGCTGTCTGTGGAACTTTGTCTGCAAACAGCTCAAAGAAGACACAGCCCAAGTTGATGATGGCATCAAAGAACACAGTGGGATTGACCATGACGGGTGCAGGTGGCTCTGGGAGGCATCCATCTGCAAAGCAAGGAAAATATATGTATACATTTTAAGAAGCCTTGCCTAACTAAACAGTTTTATTGAAAATGCTTTACAAATTGTGTGGGCTCTGGAAAGTATAGTGATTTATCAATAAAAATTCAGAATAATGGGTAGAAAGGAGTAGAAGAGATGCTTACATATTTATTTATTGTCAAATCAGGGCAAATATCCAGACATCATCTCTTCCTATTTTGGTCTAGGAATCATCTTTTCATCTTCTTTATTGTCACAGATGCCATTCCTGGATAATTTCACATTTCCCACCATGACAAAAAGATAGCGGTACCTTTTTTCATGTGTCTGTTGGCTGCATAAATGTTTTCTTTTGAGAAGTGTCTGTTCATATCCTTCGCCCACTTTTTGATGGGGTTGTTTGATTTTTTCTTGTTAATTTGTTTAAGTTCTTTGTAGATCCTGGATATTAGCACTTTGTCAGATGGGTAGATTGCAAAAACTTTCTCCCATTCTGTAGGTTGCCCGTTCACTCTGGCCATCAGAGAAATGCAAATCAAAACCACAATGAGATACCATCTCACACCAGTTAGAATGGCAATCATTAAAAGGTCAGGAAACAACAGGTGCTGGAGAGGATGTGGAGAAATAGGAACCCTTTTATACTGTTGGTGGGACTGTAAACTAGTTCAACCATTGTGGAAGACAGTGTGGTGATTCCTCAAGGATCTAGAACTAGAAATACCATTTGACCCAGCCATCTCATTACTGGGTATATACCCAAAGGATTATAAATCATGCTGCTATAAAGACACATGCACACGTATGTTTATTGTGGCACTATTCACAATAGCAAAGACTTGGAACCAACCCAAATGTCCATCAATGATAGACTGGATTAAGAAAATGTGGCACATATACACCATGGAATACTATGCAGCCATAAAAAAGGATGAGTTCATGTCCTTTATAGGGACATGGATGAAGCTGGAAACCATCATTCTGAGCAAACTGTCACAAGGACAGAAAACCAAACACTACATGTTCTCACTCATAGGTGGGAATTGAACAATGAGAACAGTTGGACACAGGATGGGGAACATCACACACCGGTGCCTGCCATGGGGTGGGGGGTTGGGGGAGGGATAGCATTAGGAGATATACCTAATGTAAATGACAAGTTAATGGGTGCAGCACACCAACATGGCAGATGTATACATATGTAACAAACCTGCATATTGTGCACGTGTACCCTAGAACTTAAAGTATAATAATAAAAAAATGAAAAAAATGAATTATGGCAGGCTTCAGAAACCATGCAAGTCTGGAGACAAATTGGCATGTTTAAACTGCTGAGAGAAGGGAAAAATAATAACTCTCCACAATTCTATACGCAGTGTGAATATCTTTCAAAAATGAAGGAGAAATTAAGACTTTTCACACAAAAGCAGAGAATTCATTACCCAGAAGCGGACTATAAGAAATATTAGAGGAAGTTTTTCAGGCTTAAGTTCTACATACCAGAGAGAAAGTTGGATCTACACAAAGAAATGAAGATTCCAGAAATGGTTAAAATGAAGATAAACGTAAAAGACTTTTTCTGACTTTTAATAGCTGTAAAAGATAATTGATTAGCTAAATTTTAAAAATAGTAGTAGTGAAAACAGGGAAAAGAGTGAGTACAGGGAAAGTACAGTAGTTTTGTGGGTGTGTAGCATATGTAAAAGCAAAATGTATGACAGCCATAACCCTAGTACACCAGTTGGGGCACCACACAGTGAAGAGGTAGAATACTCCTTGAATCTAGACTGTGATTAGTTTAAGATGTACATTGAAAATCTTAATTGTGGTGGCAGTTATATGACTGTATGCATTTGTCCAAATTCATAAAGTTGTACACTTAAAAGATTTAATCTTACCAATTATATATTATACTGCCTCCCTGCAAAAAAAAAGTTAGCGGTACCATCATGACTCACAATGTCATGACTCTTGGGAACCTGTTTATATTGGAACCATACAGACCTGCTTGTCTCTTCAGTTCCCTAGGTCCATTTATTTAATGCTGGTTACATCATTACACATGTCACTGGATCTTCTACTGTGTGGCCTGTTTCCAATAACTCTCTCCAAGGTAATTACTGCGATTCACTGTTGATGACCACAAATGCAAGTCTCACTAAGAGAATTATGGAAAATGTGAACAATAACCCATTTTGAGGTCCTTTAGTTTAAAATTGTGTAGCATAAAGGTAGAACAGCATGTTTTCCAACTCTATCTTCTCTTGAACTCTTTGAGCTGAATGTGATCTCTTCTGATACTGACCACCCTCCTGTCTTCCATACACCACCACTAGAATCACTTACCAAAAAAAGTTACCTTTTTTTCATGTTAAAAAGTGTTCAACAGAAATGAGTTTTTCTTTTTTTCTTTTTTTTTGAGATGGAGTTTCACTCTGTTGCCCAGGCTGGAGTGCAGTGGTGCAATCTTGGCTCACTGCAACCTCCGCCTCCCAAGTTCAAGCGATTCTCCTGCCTCAGCCTCCCGAGTAGCTGGGACTACAGGCACGTGCCACCACACCCAGCTAGTTTTTTGTATTTTTAGTAGAGACGGGGTTTCACCATGTTAGCCAGGATGGTCTCGATATCCTGACCTCGTGATCTGCCCACCTCAGCCTCCCAAAGTGCTGGGATTTACAGGCCTGAGTCACCACGCCTAGCCGAGTTTTTCTTTCTTTTCTTGTGTGGCAACTTTCCATTATGCCTGGCATTCCGAGTCATGCATGTGTGCAAGGTTTTGCAAAATCTTAGAGATAGAGAAGAGGCCAAAAGATGAGGTGTGAGGGACATTTCACAAGTTATGAAAATATAAATTCAAAAAGGTATCACTAAAACTATCCTACTAAATTATATTATTGATAGCATCCATTAAAATAGGCTATTATCAAAAAAAACAACAACAAATGCTGGTTAGGATGCAGAGAAAGGAGAACACTAGTCCACTACCGGGGGGAGTGGAAACTGGTACAGCCACTGTGGAAAACAGTATCGACCTTCCTCTAAAAACTAAAGATAGATGTGCCATACAATTCAGCAATCCCAAAAGTCACAATATCGAATCAGCCTAAGTGTCCCTCAATGAATGGATTAAAAAAAATTGTATACATATACACAATGGAATACTATTCAGCCACAAAAGAATGAAGTTCTGTCATTTGCATTAACATAGATGGAACTGGAAGATATTATGTTAAGTGAAATAAACCAGGCCCAGAATAATGGGTAGAAGAAGTGGAAATATTGCATGTTCTCACTCATATGTGGTAGCTAAAAATATTGAGCTCATGGATGTAGAGAGTAGAATAATAATTACTAGAGGCTGGGAAAGGTTGGGGATGGGAAATAAAGAGAGGCTGGTTAAAGGTGCAAAAATACAATTAGAAGGAATAAGTTCTAGTGTTCCATAGCATAGTAGGGTGACTATAATTAACAATAATTTGTTGTATATTTCAAAATAGCTAAAAGAGAATATTTGGAATGTTCCCAACATAAAAAATAAAAAAATGTTTGAAGTGACAAATCTCCCAATTACCCTGATTTGATCATTACACATTGTATGCATGTTTAATACATATCACACGTATCCCATACATATGTACAATTATCATTTATCAATCACTTGAACCCAGGAGGCGGAGGTTGCAGTGAGCCCAGATTGTGCCATTGCACTCTAGCTTGGGCAACAAGAGCAAGACTCTGTCTCAAAAAAAAAAAAAGAAAGAAAAGAATGGATGCTATGAATGATAGTTTAATAAAATTTTTATTGATACATGATAATTGCGATTCTCCTGCCTCAGCCTCCTGAGTAGCTGGGATTACAGGCGCCCACCACCACACCTAAATCATTTTTGTATTTTTAGTAGAGACGGGGTTTCACCATGTTGGCCATGGTGATCTTGAACTCCTGACCTCGTGATCTGCCCACCTCAGCCTCCCAAAGTGCTGGGATTACAGGCATTAGCCACCGCACCCGGCAGCATCCATTATTTTCTTTTTTTTCCCCCCAAAAGCTATCATACTCCTAGAAATAGAGAGGCCCTTCTGGGCAGGTCTGTTGTGATTAGGAGAGCCTTCCTCTGCCTCCCAGAAAAGACACCAAGCACACACTGGACCTGTGTGATTAAGCGGCACTGAGAGGCCTATTTTATAATTTTAAAACTTGTTAAGTTTCTTTGGTCACCATTAATCTCTGCCACAATCACATGTATCACTCAGGCCACCACTACCAACATTACTTCTTAGTTTCATTCAAAGGAATGTTGTCAAATATGTGGATTTCTCCTACCCTCAAATCCAGATAAAGCAATGGGCATTTTGATGAATACAAAATGTGGAATTAGTTTTTTAGCTAAAAAACAATTGCTCAAGATCTTCGTTGGCCCGGAAGGATAATTTCTTTCTAAGTACAGTGTGCTGGGCTTCTCCCCTCCCAACTTAGAATGCAGATAGCAGTTCAGGAACAGTTTTTAATAATCTAACTTCACAATAGACAGATGTGGTGGGTATTAATATAACAGAAATAAACTATTATAAGCTACTGCTCACTGTGAGCTCTGTGCTGTGCTGGGTAGTTCTCTCCTGTTATCGCATTTGCTTAATTGCACAACTAATGTTTACTCAGTGTTTGGTACTTCTTCTAAATGCAGCTTAGCATAGTACAGAGGTTGTCAAATGTCAGTGGACTTTGGAATTACCTAGAGAGAATGTGACAAATGTGTCCCCACCTCCAGAGTTGCTGATTCAGCTGATGGGGATGAGGGTTGAGAATCTGCATTCCTAACACATTCTCAGGTGATGTTGATGCTGCTGGTCTGGGGACCACACTTTGAGATCACTGACATTGTAGTTAAAAGCAGTGACTTTGCTATCAGACTGATTTGGTTTGAGTCCTCTAACTTTGGATACATTTTGTAACCTCTTGCCATTTCATTTCCTCATCTGTAAAATTATACCTCCAACATTAGCTATTTTGGGGATTAAATGATATATATGTGTAGTGTTTAGTACAGTTTTTTATGTGTTAGAACTCAGTAAATGTTAACTGCTACTACTGCAGCAATTACTACAGTGCTACTGTTACTACTAAATAGAATTAGAAAATGACTGATTTTAAAATCATTTTTAAATTGTCAATGCCACCTCTTCTCTCTACCTAGAGCTGAGTGCCAACATCTGTTATGACATCATAATGAGATTAATAACTAAGACCCTAAGGAATAATATATTGGATTTTTCATATTATTATGAAGGTTCTCCATCACAACTTAAGAAAAATATGTAAACTATGTGTCATTTTATATTTTAAAATTATTATTATTATTAGTTATTGGAGACAGGTTCTCACTCTGTCAGCCAGATTAGAGTGCAGTGGTGTGCTCATAGCTCACTGTAACCTTGAACTCCTGGGACCAAGTGATACTCTAGTCCAGCTAATTTTTCTTTTTTTTTGAGACAGGGTCTCACTCTATTGCCCAGGCTGGAGTACAGTGGTGTGATCATGGCTCACTGCAGCCTCCATCTCCCAGGTTCAAGTGATTCTCTTACCTCAGCCTCCCAAGTAGCTGGGACTACAGTTGTTTGCTACCACACCCACCTAAATTTTGTATTTTTTTGTAGAGACAGGGTTTTACCATGTTGCCCAGGCAGGTCTCAAACTCCTGGTCCTAAGTGATCCTCCCACCTTGGCCTCCTAAAGTGCTAGGATTACAGGCATGAGACACCAGGCTTGGTCATATTTTTTTTTTTTTTTCTTTTTGAGACGGAGTTTCACTCTGTCACCTAGGCTGGAGTGCAATGGCATGATCTCGGCTCACCACAGCCTCTGCCTCTGGGTTCAAGTGATTCTCCTGCCTCAGCCTCCCAAGTAGCTGGGATTACAGGAGCCCACCACCATGCCCAGCTAATTTTTGTATTTTTAGTAGAGATGAGGGTTCACCCTGTTGGCCAGGCTGGTCTCAAACTCCTGACCTCAGGTGATCCACCTACCTCGGCCTTCCAAAGTGCTGGGATTACAGGTGTGAGCCACCATGCCCAGCCCTGGTCATCACTTTTAATAAGAAACACAACCCTGAAAAGAATCTCTAGGGAAGGAAGTTGTAATTGACTCAATTTATTAACTTCACTAAACATTATTGAATATATTATTATGGGCTAACTAAAAAATAATTCCATTCAGTGGTCACACACACACACACATGCCCCAAAACAAACAAACAAAAACAAACAGGAACCTTCATGAAATATTGCTTAGTCATAAGAAATATTTTATAAGAGTTACCATATACTTTGGCCATAGAAAATTCCAATAACTCATTCAAATGAAATTAGCCTGCCACTAATCTGCAAAACGATAAGAGTGTCAGAGATGGCATAATATATAAGTTGGAAAGATGCTTATCACCTATTAACCACATACTGATGTAGCACTGCTATCAGTTGTATGATTGCAGACACCTGGAAGGTCATCCTAGCCTCTTTCAACCACTGGCATCTAGATTCTTGTTATAGGCTGAATGTGTCCCTGCCAAGTTCATATGTCGAAATTATAGCCCCCTCTGTGATGACATTAGGAGGTGGGACATTGGGAGGTGATTAGGTCATAAGAGGGGAGCCCTCATGAGTGGGATTAGTGCCCTTATAAGAAGATAAGTAAGAGAGATGATCTCTCTGGACTATGTAAGAATACACAAAAAGACAGTCTTCTACAAACCAAGAAGAGGGCAATTCACCAGCTTCCAGAGCTGCGAGAAATACATGTTTGTTGTTGAAGCCACACAGCCTGTGGTATTCTATTATAGCAGCCCAAACTGTTCAAGGCAATTCTTTTTTAGGTTTATACAGAGCTACTAAAAAATAAAACTGGTAAGTTAACACCAAAGGTTTCATCCAAATCATTTAAAACAAGGGTGGTAATAGTCACATTAAAGAAATGTAACTTTCTATGTTGGCTTTGAATGCTCTAATATCCATAATGAGATTTTAAAAAAATAATACACGCACTTGGATTCTTTGCTTTGCAGGTCTCTTGGACATTTAAGTAGAAGTGACATTTATTACCCAATGCTTACTAATACTGTAGTTCGGGGATGGGCAAACTACAGCCCCCTTTCCCCACCTCTGTCATTTTCTAAATAAAGTTTTATTGGAACACAGCCACTCTCTTTCTTTCACATATTGTCTCAGGCTACATTTATGCTACAGAAGGGTTGCCAACCTCTGCTGTAGACAGTTACTTGGAACACTTTGCAGAGAAATGTGGCAAGGAGAAATGTAATCTCTTTCCTAGAAATATCTACCCAAAGAGGTAATTTATATTCAGTAAAATAGTGTCCTAGTACAGTAACAAATTAGCCTTACAGTTGATTTCCTGTTAACTTCAGACTGAAATATTCACTAGCCCTTCTGAATGCTCAGTGTCATTACAATGATGTATCCACCAGCCATGGGCAACACTCTACTCTGGGCCAGGAGTTGTCCTCAGTTTTGCATTATTCTTGCTTAATTTTAAAAGTCAAACTTACATTTATTAAGGTTAATAAAGTCCCAGAACCTCATCAATGGCTAAATAACCTTTCTCTGGAAACCACATTGTTTTTTTCAGAAGTAGTACTTCCCTTTAAGCATCTATAAACCTATTTTATTTTATAGAACATGGTATTGGCCTGCCTTTAAAAATGAGTTCCTTTTTTTTTTTTTTGAGACAGAGTCTAGCTCTGTGGCCCAGGCCCAGGGTGGTGTGCAGTGGCACGATCTCAGCTCACTGTAATCTCTGCCTCCCAGGTTCAAGCGATTATCCTGCCTCAGCCTCCTGAGTAGGTGGGATTGCGTGCACCACCATGCCAGGCTGATTTTTGTATTTTTAGTAGAGATGGGGTTTCACCATGTTGGCCAGGCTGATCTCAGACTCTAAGTTTCTATTTCTTTAACAAATGTCTTTCCAAGTACTTGAGGTACAATTTCTATGATGCTTCCAAAAAAAAAAATTAACACATATTTGTTGGGTGAATAGAGAGTATGTATCAGAGTGGGAGGAACATGAGAGTTCAACTCTCAGAAGTTCCACTTCCTGCTAGTGTATGATAACCCTCTGAGCCTCAATTTCCTTATCCTTAAAATAAAAGTAATCTCTATGTCATAAGATTGTGGTCAGGATTTTAAACAATGCATGTAAAATGCATAGTGAGAGCCAGACACTTTACAAGTGGTGATTTAGTGAATGCCAGTGAAGTGGGCTTAGTTATTTTTCTTTTCAGATTTCTTTTTGATTTAGTTGGATTTTCTTAGAGGTGAACTAGATGCTTAAAAGTAGTCATGCTTAAATTTATTCAGGCAAACTTTAACAAATTTAAGATACCGTGCCTTATACTGAAACAACAGTTTCAAGACACAGTTTGTAGCTTGAACTGGAAAGAGAATATGAAGATAAAGGACACCAGAAGGCTCTGGCACAGCTCTGGTGTCGCCGACGCTACTTAGAGCCCTAACTCCCTTACCCTCTTTCCCCAGCCTTTCAGTGCTTCACAGATGCTTGCCATTGGTCACACAGTGGCCAGAGAATGAGTGTTTGGATGATTGTCTGTCAATCCTCCATCCTGAGAAGAGAGGCAATAATTACCCCTGCCCAGATGATCCACAGCCATGGAAGGCATTCATTCCATCCTTTGGGGCAGTGATGCTTAGAAAAGCCCTCACCTGATGGCAGGCTGAAAGATCTGAATTGCAGTCCCAGTTCCGCAACCCGTCAGCTATGCAACCCCAGACACAGCAATCTGCACCATTCTGAGTCCTAAGTGTCTTCAGCAAATTAAATGAGATATCTGTGATCCTTCCAGATTTATAGCCTTTTCCATCAGGGAAGTGAAGTATATGCATGAACTTTAAAGGAATAGGGGGCTATATGCCAGCCTAAAATATCCATTCTGATTTGGGACAGGTTTCTCAGACATTTATTCTCAAGATATCCCACATTGGCTCTTTTCTCAGCTGCTAAGATCTGACCCTTGCAATAATCAGGTTTCCAGAGGTATGGAACACAACAAATTAGTAGGCCCTAGAGGGCTACTAATGGCTGTCTCCCACCTATGTAAATACACATAAATAATCACTCAGTCATCCATTCTAGAATCTTGCTAGTGTTTGCATTATACTGACTGGTGGAGCATCTCAAATCTGAAACTTGAAATGCTCCAGTGAGTATTTCTTGTCAGCGTTCAAAAGTTTCAGATTTTGGAGCATTTTGGATTTTGGATTTTTAGATTTGGGATGCTCAGCATGTATAAGAAATAAATTTTTGTTTTTGTTTTTTAATAAATTACCTAGTCTCAGGTATTCTGTTATAGAGCAGAAGCCAGGCTAAGACTGTGTTCATAATAGTGGCTCATCATTTGTTTGGCAATATATTTGTTATTAAAATATTTCACTGTGACAATACTCACTGTGATAAATTTTATTCTACAAACAACTTTCTTTAGGGTATTTTTTTACAATCTGAGGATTATACAAAACCACCTGATAAAAATAGGCGCAATAATTCTTGGGCTTTTAGTTTCAAAGTCTGTTTTCCCATCTGTTATCCAAAGTCTGGGTCGGTCTACACAACCAAAGCAAAATGTAGGATTCTGTAATTATCCTTTGACTCAGAGACAAATAGAATATCAGTAGAAAAGGGACATCTGTGCTCATCTGATTCAATACCAGTCAGAAATATGATTCTTTGAAACATCTAACAACCATAGAGGACAATCTGCTTTATTGAACCCATGAATTCAAATTCTAATCTCATCTGGAAACACCCTCACAGACACACCCCAAAGTAATGTTTAGCTAAATACCTGGCATCCGGATCCAGTCAAGTTGACACAAACAATTAACCATCAAATCCCACATCTCTAAGGCCTTCATGGCACCTAATACAAAGTAGGTGCTCAGTAAATGTTTTCTTATTGAGTGGATGAATGAATGTATTTTTATTATTTCCAGTGAAATCGTAAAGATGACTATGGATGAAGAACTACAAAGTTAGTAAAAAGTAACTGACAGACCGCTCTTAGCCTGCTAGCCTGCTGACAGATTGTACTGCTTAGGTTGATTGACAGTTACTCTCAGAGTATTAACTGTATAACTGAGAGTAACTCAAAGTAGTAACATGTCTACATATGGGGAAGACTTCACTTGAGTCTCACTGATCCTCAAAGCAGACACTCAAAATAAATGTGCTGTGAGTTTAGTTTAGATCCAGTCCAGATGCTATTTGAAGAAAGAAGGGAAAGGAAAGGAAAAGAAAGAAAGAGGGAAGGAAGGAAGGAAGGAAGGAAGAAAGGAAGGAGGGAAAGAAGGAAGGAAGGAAGTGAAGTAAGTTCAAAGTTACTTGTTTAAAAAATAAATACAAAGAAAATATTCTTTTCTGGCTGCCAATCTGTTAAAAAATTAAAAAGTAATATATAGTTTGGGGTTGTAATTATCAGGCTATTGTAATTTGCCCTAATTTTTGTACAGTTTTATTTATTTCAAATGTCCAATTTTAAGGAGAAGATAATAGACTTCAAATTATGGATAGAGAGATTGTAATAGAAATCTCTTCAGATACTAAGAAACCTGGTTTCATTTCATTCTCTTTGACATTTCATTCTCTTTGATCTTTAATATCCTTATCATTGGTCCTAAAATCCACTAGCTCTTTTTGGGTTACATGAACATTATTAACTTCAGATATTCTACAAGTCATGCATGTTGACTTGGGGTTCTGGTTTTGGCTATTATCTTATGCAGACTGGTGCCGTCTACCAGCAGCTTGGTACACACATTTTTTTCCTCACCAAAGATGGATTAAAGAAATAAAGTAGCAGAAGTTTTGTGAATAGTGGGTTTGACAGTAATGCATATACCAAGATATATGCTGGTAAAATGTATCCATCCAGCAGCCTTAATTTTTACATATAAAGTTGTCCCTTGGTATTCACGGGGGATTGGTTCCAGGACCCCCTGTGGGTACCAAAATCTGCAGATACTCAAATCCCTGATATAAGATGGTGTAGTGTTTGCATACAACCTATGCACATCCCCCATATACTTTAAATCATATCTAGATTACTTATAATGCCTAATATAATGTAAATGCTATGTAAATAGTTGTTGCATTGTGTTGGTTTTTTATTTGTTTTTTTGTTGTTGTTGTCATTTTAATTTTTTTCAGACATTTTTGGTCTATGGTTGGTTGTATTTGCAGATGCAGAATCCTCATATACAGAGGGCCAGCTGTAACTCATATGTTTTCAAGAGGATCTTCTCAATATAACAATGTGTAGCTTATGGCCAGGCACAGTGGCACACGCCTGTAATCCCAGCACTTTGAGATGCCAAGGCTGGCAGATCTCTTGAGCTCAGGAGTTTGAGACCAGCCTGCAAAACACAGTGAAACCCTGCCTCTATAAAAAATACAAAAATTAGGTGGGCATGGTAGTCTGTGAATGTAGTTCCAGCTACTTGGGAGGTTGAGGTGGAAGGATCACTTGACCCCAGGAGGTCAAGGCTGCAGTGAGTCATGAGTGTGCCACTGCACTCCAGCCTGTGCGACAGAGTGAGACTCCGTCTCAAGAAAAGAAAAGAAAAAGGAAACTGCAACGATGAACAGATCAGAATAGGCGACATGCACTGAACAAGGTAAAAAAGACAGAAAATTATCTGGAGAGGTGGCCGGAGGACACATCAAGAAGCGCCTTGTACATTGGTAAGGATTGTGGATTTTATGGTGATTAAAAGTTGCTGTGGGGTTTTTTGAGTACAGGAATGACTTAACCGGTATAATGTTTGTAAAAGGATCCATTTGGCTGCTGTGCAGAGAAATAGACAGGACAAAGTAAGTGGAGAAGCCAGGATACATACAGGAAGCTATGGTCATTGTCCTGGTGAAAGCAATCCACAACTTGGGCCTGGTAGGGACAAAGGTGAAAAGTTGCTAATTCTACATGTATTCTTTGATGGATTGGGCATGGAGAGGGAGAGAAAGGGAGTGGTCAATAAGATTCCAAAGTTTTGGGCCCAAGCAATTGAGTAAAACCGTGGTGACTTTTACTGAAATAGGAAAAACTGAGGTGGGTCAGTCTGGGGCAGGGGGAAATATGAAATTCCATTTGAGAGCTGTTAAGTTTGAGATATCTATTATATAATCAAGTGGGTATGTCAAGTAGGCATTTGTTGGTTTTTATAATTGTATTAGTCAGGGTTCTCTAGAGGGACAGAACTAATGGGATAATATATGATATATACATATATATGATATATATATATATATATCAATTGTACCCCAAACCTCAGCATCACATAATATACTCATGTAACAAACCCACACATGTATCCCTGAATCTAAAATAAAAGATGAAATTATAAAAAAAGTTATATTGAAGCGTGAAATATTGATTACAATTTTGAAGCATAAAATATATCGATTATTATCATGGTTATTACTGAGTATCAACTTGATTGGATTGAAGGATGCAAAGCACTGATCCTGCGTGAGTCTGTGAGGGTGTTGCCAAAGGAGATTAACATTTGAGTCATATATATATATATAGATATAGATATATAGATATAGATATAGATATAGTTTAGTAAGTATTAACTCACACAATCACAAGGTCCCACAATAGGCCATCTGCAGGCTGAGGAGCAAGGAAAGCCAGTCTGAGTCCCAAAGCTGAAGAACATGGAGTCTGATGTTTGAGGGCAGGAAGGGTCCAGCATGAGAGAAAGATGTAGGCTGGGAGGCTAGGCCAGTCTAGTCTTTTCATGTTTTTTTGTTGTTTTTTTTTTTTTCTGCCTGCTTTATATTATAGCCATGCTGGCAGCTGATTAGATGGTGCCCACCCAGATTAAGGGTGGGTCTGCCTTTCCCAACCCACTGACTCAAGTGTTAATCTTCTTTGGCAACACCCTCACAGACACCTGCAGGATCAGTGCTTTGCATCCTTCAATCCAATCAAGTTGACACTCAGTATTAACCATGATAATAATAAATATATTCTGTGCTTCAAAATAGTTGTAATCAATATTTGACACTTCAATATAACTTTTTTTTATAATTTCATCTTTTATTTTAGATTCGGGGATACATGTCTGGGTTTGTTACGTGGGTATATTATGTGATGCTGAGGTTTGGGGTACAAATGATCCCATCACCCAGGTATTGTTCACAGTACCCAATAGTTATTCAACCCTTGCTCCCCTTCTTCCTTCCTCCCTCTAGTAGTCCCCACTGTCTACCATTGCCATCTTTATGTCCATGAATATCCAATGTTTAGCTCCCACTTATAAGTGAGAACATGCGGTATTTGGCTTTCTGTTCCTGTGTTAATTTGCTTAGGGTAATGGCCTCCAGCTGTGTCCATGTTCCTGCAAAGAACATGATTTTGGTCTTTTTTCTGGCTGCATCAAGTAGGCATTTGGATATGAAGTCTGGTGTTCAGGAGAGTTTGGGGCTGGAGACAGAAATTTGTAAGTTATCAATATCTAAACTAGTGCTAACCAGTAGACATACGAGGCAAGTTACATATGTTTTCTAATAGCTATATGTTAAAAAGTGGAAAAAATAGGTAACATTAATTTTAGTAATGTTTTATTCAACTTAATACATCCAAAATCTCATTTTATTGTATAGTCAATATGAAAATATTATTGTGTTGTTTTACATTCTTTTTTTTATAAGTCTTTGAACTTCAGTATGAATTTTACATGTGTACCACATCTTGATTCAGACTTAATAGCCATGTGGCTAGTGGCTACTGTGTTGGACAGCACAGGTCTGGATGGTGTTTAAAGCCAATGGACTGGATATTGAGAGACAGTATAGATAGAAAAGAGAAGAAGCCCAAGAGACCCGAGGACTGAGCCCTTGGAAACTGCAGCATTTAAAAGTCAGGAAAAAGAAGAGGAGGATCCCCAATAGAAGAGAAAAAGAATAGAAATGCTGTCTTGTTAGGGGAGCAGGATATGGGTGTATGCATTTATCAAAACTGATTGAACTGCACACTTAAAATTTATGCATTTCACAATATGTAAATTATGACTCAATTTTAAAAAGCACATTCTAAAAATAGAAGAGAGAGAGAGAGAGAGAGAATCAAATGGAGAAAACAGTGAGGATGGTGTGGGGTTCCAGAAACAAGTGATCAACTACGTCAAATGCTGGTAAGAAGTCAAGTGAGATAAGGACAGAATTAACCAGAGAATGGGCAATGGAAGGTCATATGTCACCGTGGCAAAAGAAGATTTGAGAGAGGGGATGAAAGCTTGATTAGAAGTTCATTCGAGTGAGAATGGGGAAGCTTCTGGTCACAGATGGCTGATCTAACATGTGATTTTACTTCTGCTTCCCCTGAAACCTGACTAAATGACAGTAAATGGAATTTGTAATGACTTACTCACACCCCTGCCCCACTCTAACATGTACAGTTTGGAAACTGGAAAGCATCTAGGGAAGGATAAATGACTGAGATCTATGAAAGCTGAATTCCTAGTCAGCACTGGGGAAAGCAAGGAGCAATTTGTCACCATAGAACCCGCCAAAGGCTCAGAAATCTGTAATACAGGTTCAACCAAAAGTGAGGGGTGTAGGTGGGCCTGAGAACTGTTTAAAAAGCAATTTGATACCCAGATCAGGGTATCAGCAATTTGATACCCAATGTCCAGGAGGGACATTAATACAATGAAAGGAAGCTTTTGGAAGTTAAAAATATGAAAGCTGAAACAAAAATCTCAATACAAAGACTAGAAGGTAAATTGAGGAAAGTAGAGCAAAAAATCAAAGAGAAGGAAAACAGCAGAGAAAAGTAAAAAAGAAAATTAGATGATCAGTCCAAGAGGTCTAACATCTCAATGATAGGAATTACAGAAAGAGGGAACAACAACAAAAGAACATACATGAAGAAACAGTCAAAGGAAAAATTCAAGGAAATTTCCAAAGTGGAATGACAGGAATTTCTAGATTAAAAAGGCCCACCGGCCAGGTGCAGCAGCTCATGCCTATAATCCTAGCACTTTGGGAGGCCGAGGCGGGCGGATAGCCTGAGGTCAGGAGTTCCAGACCTGTCTGGCCAACATGGTGAAACTCAGTCTCTATTAAAAATACAAAAAGTTAGCTGGGTGTGGTGGCGGGTGCTTGTAATCCCAGCTACTTGCGAGGCTGAGTCAGGAGAATCACTTGAACCCGGGAGACAGAGGTTGCAGTGAGCTGAGATCGCACCATTGCACTGCAGCCTGGGAGACAGAAGGAGACTCCGTCTCAAAAAAAAAAAAAAAAAAGGCTACCAAAAACCCAGCATAATGAATGAAAGCAGACCCATAATAAGTCGTCTCATTATAAAATGTCATAATATCAGGCCAAAAGAGATGAAAGAATAGGTCATATACAAAGGATCAAGAGTAAGAATAGATTTGGATTTTTTAACAACAGTGGAAACTAGAAGTTAATGTAAAACAATGTTTTTATAATTTGAGAGAAAACTATTTCTGCCTTAGAATTTATATACACAAAGTCCTAAGTGTGAAGATAGGCTAAAGGCATTTTCAGACATGCTAGTCCTCAAACATTTACTTTTTATAGTTACTGCTGGAGCAGTAGCACGATGAAGGAGTATGTCAAGGAAGAGGATGACATGTCCCACCAACAGTGGCTCCGACTCAAGAAAGAAGGGACGGGAATCGCAGGATGTAGGTGACGGGGATTCCAGGGTGCCAACCGTGCAGCGGCCTCAGAGAGCAACCTGAGCAGATCGAAGCAAGTCTCCAGAAAACATAGCTCCAAAAAGATGAAATTGATATATTTGAACATATGGGAAGAACATCCACACTTCTGAAGAGGACTGGGGTCAAATTGCTGATAACTGCTTACATAGCTAAGCAAATTTTTAAAAAAGAATATTAACTTTAGGGAACATCGAAAGATCTTAAATAAAAAGTAACCATGATTTATCACATGGCTTGGTTGCAAGTAGTCACTTTTTCATAATAATGAAAACACTGAATACTGATCTAACCATAAAAATACTTTGACTCTATGGGGAGATGGGGGACTGGAAGTGTACATGTGTGTACAGATGTGACTAGGAAGGGGTGTGGGGAGTGCTGAATCCACGCATTCCTTAAAGAAGTCAGGATCATGTCCAAAACTTGGAAAATAATAGAGAGGAAGCAATACAAGAAAATTATTTAGAATTATAGCCATAATTTTTTTAAAGCTAAAAGACTCGAGGCTGGGCTCCGTGGCTCAGGCCTGTAATCCTAGCACTTTGGGAGGCCGAGGCGGGCGGATCATGAGGTCAGGAGATGAAGACCATCTTGGCCAACACGGTGAAACCCCGTCTCTACTAAAAATACACACAAAAAAAAATTAGCTGGGTGTAGTGGCGGGCGCCTGTAGTCCCAGCTACTTGGGAGGCTGAGGCGGGAGAACAGCGTGAACCCAGGAGGTGGAGCTTGCAGTGAACTGAGATTGCGCCACTGCACTCCAGCCTGGGTGACAGAGTGACACTCCGTCTCAAAAAAAAAAAAAGACTTGATCACAATTTCTTGGGAAGTGAAAAATAGGGAGAAGGAATGAAAAGTTGTCAATTGCAGCACTTTTTGGCTCTCTAATCTATGCACCTATATAAATTTGATTTAAAAGTTTAAAACTTTTTTCAAAACATGGAATGATGATATAAAATGAAGACAGAAAGTATACAGCAACACTGTCCAAAAGAAGTTTCTTCAATGATGGAAATTACATCCAATATGATAGCCCCTTGAAATGTGACTAGTGTGAGTGGGGAATTAAATTTAGAGGTTTATTAAATTTAAATCAATTTACATTTAAATAGCCACGTATGGCTAGTGGCTGTTATATTAGACAGTGCATCTATATACAATGGCCTGCTCCTATCTAGAATCAACTTTCCTTTTATAATTGAGCCTTCTTTCTTCTTCTAGTTTTTGTTTGTTTGTTTGTTTGTTTCTAAGCATTATTTATTTATTTATTTATTTATTTTACTTTCTCAATTTTTATTTTAGGCTCTGTGGTAGTTGTGTAGGTTTGTTACACAGGTAAATTGCATGTCACTGGGATTTGGTGTACAAATGATTTTGTCACCCAGGTAGTTAGCACAGTACATGACAGGTTGGTTTTTTACCTTCACCCTCTTCCCATCCTCCCCACTCAGTTAGGTCCCAGCGTCTATTGTTCTTTTCTTTGTGTCCATGTGTACATAATGTTTTGCTCCCACTTATAAGTAAGAACGTGTGGTATTTGGTTTTCTGTTCCTGCATTAATTTGCTTAGGATAGTGACCTCCAGCTGCATCCCTGTTGCTGCAAAAGACATGATCTCATTCTTTTTTATGGCTGCATAGTATTCCATGGTGTATATGTATGACATTTTCTTTGTACAGTCCATCATTGATGGGCACCTAGGTTGATTCCATGTCTTTGCTATTGTGAATAGTGCTGCAGTGAACATATGGGTGCATATGTCTTTTCGGTAGAAAAATTTATATTCCTTTTGGATATATACCCAACAATGGGACTGCTGGATCGAATGGTAGTTCTGAGTTCTTTGAGAAACCTCCAATCTGTTTTCTACAGTGGCTGAACTAATTTACATTCCTACCAGCAGCATATAGGCATTACCTTTTCTCTGCAATCACACCGGCATCTGTTATTTTTTGATTTTTTAATAGTAGCCATTCTGACTGGTGTGAAATGGTACGTCATTGTGGTTTTGATTTCATTTCTCTAATGATCAGTGATGTTGAGCATTTTTCGTGCACTTATTGGCTATGTGTATGCTTTCTTTTGAGACATGCAACTGACCCTTCTTTCTCTCCTGTGTAATCTTTTTGTCTGTTCTATGAATCCTTCCTACCAGCATGCTAAAATGTTATTTACCTTTTTTTTTAAAGTGCTGTTGCTTTGACCCCCATCCCTCTGTGACTATCCACCCCATTTTCTGTTCCTTTATAGCAAAACTCCTCAAAAGACTTCTGTATACCTCAGCTGTCCTACACAGCAGCCACTAGCCACATATGGCTATATGCATTTAAATTAATTGAAATTAAATAAAATGTAAAATTCAGTTCCTCAATTTCACTGGCCATGTTCCAATCACTCAATAGTTATGTGTGGCTCTCGGCTTTGCCTTGAGGAGAGACAGGTACAGAATATTTCTATCATCTCAGGAAGTTCTATTGGGCTTTGATAGAACTTTAAGCACTGATAGGAACAGGAGGGAGGGCCAAGTAAATGGGTACCTTGCTGGCAGTTTGGTAGATTTGGTGCTGGAAGGATAATAAAATTATCTCCTAGTTATTCTTTTTTTCTCAGTGGAATAAAAAATAAGTTCATCAGCTGAGAGTAAGGAAAGAGAAGGGACGCTCTAAGTAGGAGAATGAGAAGGTAGAAAACCTTTCCAGAGAGCAGGAGAGTGAATTGATAAAGGAAATAAAGAGTAAATATTCCTCCTCCTCCTTAACCTGAGTATGAAATTAAGGACAATAGGAATCATTATGTTTTCTTTTCATATTATTGCTGCTGTTCTCAGTGTTGTTATTAAAGAGGTCATCCTTAACACTGGGCATTCTAGATGGAGATGGAGGCATGAGCCAATTTTTCAGCTACTCCTTTTCCCCTGTAATTACTTTGAAATCAGGGATTACTGAGAAATCTCACTGTCGTGCTGTGACCACAACGTACACAGCAGGAAGGAAGGGGAGGTTCCTTCCTGGAGATGTTTTGCAGTGATAAGATACGGGCACTTCCTCAGTCAAGGGTCTTTTGATTTTAAGAAAGAGAAACCAACCCAAACAAACTTAAACAAGAAAAGGAGATGGACTGTAATGATACATGGGTGCCTCCTGGAACTTATAGGAGTACAGCTGGTCCTTATAGGAGCTTGACCCTGGGGGAGCCAGGAGACTAGAAAGCTCTCAGGAACAGGCAGAATCATGTTTCAAATCTCTGTGTCCCTCTCCCTCTTCCCTGCCCCACTGCCTGCACCTTGCCCCCATAAATATGGTTTCTCATGTCTTCTCCACAAGAAGTATTCTTTTCTCTTCTCTACAGAAAAGACCAGTTTTCTCTACAGCATTCTCAGCACACTTGATAGGTAAAAGATGGCCACTCCCATAAAGTCCTCCGTTCTTATTACCTCAGAACAAGCAAACTTCTCAAAGAAACAAGAACATCTCAGTCTCAGTTACAAAGTTCTGAGAGAATCTGATTAGTCAAACTTAGGACAACTGCCCAATGTGGGTTCAAACAACTCTGCTCGGGGACACGGCCACAGGTACAAACTTGACTTCCAGGGCCCATTCCCCCAGGGTGTAGGGCAGTTCTCAGAGCTCATTGGCTCCACCCTCTGGGAAGTCCTTTCTGTTCTATTATCTGCCTTGGTCATACTTGAAGTATTGAGCTACACAGCTTTCCACGTCCTGCCCTGAATTAGGGTGGTGCCTCAGGCTTTTTAGACCAGGCTTACAGTTTCTTTGTACTACTGAACGACTACCTCAAAAACCAGGAGGCCCCATCTATCTGCTTCCAGACATTTCCATGAGCAAATAACCATATTTAGAATTGTGTTTGAGGGACTTCTTTTATTTCTGCTTCATTCTTGTGCTTTCTTGTCCTCAAAACATCCTCCCTCTGCCTCTCCCCCGCACCTTCGTGGCCAGGACCTCGATTTAAGTAATTTTAATCCTCTAAAGTTTTAACAAGTTGTAAAAGTTGATCTAACCTTTGCCCTGAGGCATTTAATCAACTGATACACACACAAGTATGTATGTATGTATCTATGTGTGTGTGTGTGTATACATATACATATATATATATTTTTTTTCTTTTTTCCTAGCACTTTTTACTCAAAGCCTTTAAACTCTTCAGATTCTGAATCTAAAAGCAGTTGGTTTTTTCAAATTTATAAGACTCCAAATTTTTGGATTATCTTTATTCCCTTTTATTATTCATTATAAACTGGTCATTTCTTTCTGGAGTTGCTTCTCTCTCTCTCTCTCTTCCCTCCCAGTACTTTGCCAAACACAACCAGAAGCAACCACATATATAATAGCAGCAGTACAATAGGTGAATGGTCTTGCAAGGTAATCACAAGCAAAACCTTTACCAAATGTGTTGCCTTCTTCCCAGCATCTGATATCAGTTTCCTCTCTGTCATCAGCTGACTGCTAAGCCAGTATTTTAATTTTTTTTCAACAGCTTACCACTACTGGCCTCAGCATTTTTTTTTTTTCCAGTCAGGATAAGTTTTTTCACATTGCAGTAGCAACTTTCGCCTGGAATCTCAGTGGCCTTAATACAATAAAGCTGTGGGTCTGATGTGAGTCAGGTGAGTTCCCTGGGCAACTGCCCTGTGTGATGAAGTGGCTCAGTTATTGAAAAGATTTCTGTCGCTGGTTCTGTCATCTCAAGTCATGGGCTCCGAAATTGACCAACAAAGGAAAAGATCACAGGGAAAATTCACACCTGCTTTTCTAAGCTTTGATCCTGAAGTGAGACATATCACTGCTACTCAAAGTCCATTGACCAGGATTGGTTTTACCACTCCACCTAACTAGACAGGACCGGAAGTTATCTCTTCCATCGTCCTCAGCATGTTGAGAGAGCAGAGCTGTAAGATCAAAACAGCCTGGACAGTGGGGCCCCTAAAGTGAGGACCCCTGTCCTGGAGAGTGGCCCAATTGCACAGGAATTTACATGAGTGAGAAACAAAATTTTGTTGAAATAATACCCTGGGATTTGAAAATTTAATTATTCTTGCAACAGTCCATCCTATCCTGATTAATATGGGAACCCGAAAGATAGGAGTGAATGAAACAATATAGTTTCTTTTCCCTGAAGCAATTGTAATTCCAATCAAAATATCAATAGGATTTTTTTGGAGACTGACAAAATGTTGTAAAGGTCTTGTAGAATAATAGAGGAGTGAGAATAGCCAATACAACTGTAAATGAAATAATGAAGAAATAGTTTTATCCAATATTAAGATATTTTATAGGTAGAGAAATTATAAGAAATAAGAAAGCTGTTAATGGAGAATAAAGACCCCAGAAACAGACCCAAATACCTTTAAGAACTTAAAGTATTAATATTAATATAAGGCCATGTGCAGTGGCTCAGGCCTGTAATCCCAGCACTTTGGGAGGCTGAGGTGGGTGTATCACTTAAGCTCAGGAGTTCGAGACCAGCCTGAGCAACATTGCAAAACCCTGTCTCTACAAAAAATATAAAAATTACCTGGGTGTGCTGGTGCATGCCCGTAGTCACAGCTGCTTGGGAGGCTGAGGTGGGAGGATTACTTGAGCCCTGGAGGTCAAGTCTGCAGTAAGCCATGATTGTGCCACTGCACTCCAGCCTGGGTGACAGAGTAAGACTTTGTCTCAAAAAAATAAAATAAAATAAAATATAAATAAGGTGGTATTTTAAAGTTAATGGGAGAATATGAATAATTCAGAAATGTTGTGATGAACATGCCATTGGGGGAAAAAGTGCAGAAGTATCTTATGCCCAAACAAATTCTATGTGGATCAATAACTTGAATGTAAAATATGAAACCATAACAATACTGGAAAAATCATTGATCTTTTTCTCATAATTTTTAACTGGGGAAAAGTGACAGACATAAAAGATAAGATTGATAAATTTACTTATATAAAAGTTAAAACTTTTTCAAGACTAGAATACCGTAAAGTCAAGAGATAAACCACAGGATAGAAAAAAAAAGTCTGCAATTTATATAACAGGAAGAGGGTTAATTTCTTTTATATACAAAGCAATTAAAAAATCAGCAACAGAAAACTGAACAATTCAATAGAAAAATAAGTTTGCAACAAAAACAAAGCAAACAGCCAATAAACACATAACATTTTTAGCTATCTAAAAAAATCAAGGAATGTAAGTTAAAACAAGATACTGTTTTTCACTTTGTATATTTTGCAAAAATACTGGAGCTTGCACCCACCCCACCCAACCCCATTCTATGGTTTTACTTTCTGAGGTTTCAGTTACCTCTGGTCAGCCACAGTCTGGAATTTTCCATTTTGTATTTTCAGACTGCAGATGACCAGGGTAACTAAAACTTCAGAAAACAAAGTATTAAATGGAAAATTCCAGAAACAAACAACTTATACATTTTAAATTGTGCAGCATGGTATAATCCCATGGATAAAGGAGAACTACTGTAAAATGTTGATCTTACTCAAGAGTGTGGGAAACAGGACCACTCATGTATTATTAATGAAATGTAAATTGCTACAACTTTTTGGAAAGCAATTTGGCAATAACTATTAAAATTTAACAAGCACATTCTCTTAAACTCAGCAATTCTCCTTTCAGGAATTTTTCCCAAGGAAACGCTTTCACCAGGCGGCAAATATATACTGTATAGGAGTAGCATGATACTATTATTTGTAATAGTAAAAAAAAAAAAAAAAATTTAAATGCCCATCAAGAGAGGATTAAATAAACTATAGTGGCTCTGTAAAATGGGATATTACATAGCTGTTCCAAAGAACCAATGCATTTCTATGTCTTGATATGAAAAGTATCCAAACTAAACTGTTTTAAGTAGGAAAAAAAGGTAGAATACAATATCATTATAAGTGAAAATTCCTAGAATCACGTTTATACATATATTTATATACATGTATGTATATACATACAAATATCTGAGAAAAAAGAAATAATAGCTATGATTATCTTCAGCTATAATTACATTAAATATGGATTTGTAAGTAAGGAGGTAGGCGTTTACATTTCATACCCATTTGTAAGTTTTACAGCTTATGAATGTGTTGCTTTATGGTTAAAAACAAGATTTTAAACTATTAATCCTTTCATGCAAATATTAATTCTCCATTTCTACCATTCAATCTATATCTCAAAAAATTTGCATATACAAAAAAAACGGACCAAAGTTGTGGATGTTCAGAACATGTTATAAATGAGTAAACGAAGTCACCAATCATCATGAGAGGGGAGCACAATCTTTAGAAAGTCAAGCCCTGTTTCCACAGCAAGGAAAAATTCCCCAGGTTTAAGTGGTAATGGTTCTCTATCAACATTCCAAAAAGAAATTCAGTAATAATAGTAGTAGTAGCTGACATTTACTGAGTAGTGACTAAGTTGGATTCAGCAGTCAGCCCTTTTACACGCATCTTTTCTCTTTTTTTTTTCTGGCAGAGTCTTGCTTTGTTGCCCAGGCTGGAGCACGGTGGCATAATCTCGGCTCACTGCAACCTCAGCCTCCTGGGTTCAAGTGATTCTATTACCTCAGCCTCCCGAGTAGTTGGGATTACAGGTGTGCACCACCACGCCCAGCTAATTTTTGTATTTTAGTAGAGACAGCATTTCACCATGTTGGCCAGGCTGCTCTCAAACTCCTGACCTCAAGTGATCCACCCACCTTGGCCTCCCAAAGTGCTGGGATTATAGGCATGAGCCACGCCAGGCCAGGAATCTTCTCATTGAATCCCACAGACTCCATGTAGCAGGGGCACCAGGGCCAGTCCCATTCTACCAACGAGGAAACTAAGGATCAGAGAGTGAAATTAAGAAATCACACAAGAGACTCAGGGCTTGAGTTTCAAAGCACTTGTAATATGCTTCACTGCTGACTCCACCCCTTACTATGTGTCCTCAGTAAAGTGGCTCTGCCAGAGGCGTTTGAACCAGAGGACTCCATCTTGAATAGGGACTGGGTAAAATAAGGCTGAGACCTGCTGGGCTGCATTACCAAGAGGTTAAGGCATTCTAAGCCACAGGAAGAGATAGGAGGTCGGCACAAGATACACAAGGTCGTAAAGACCTTGCTGATAAAACAGGTTGCAGTAAAGAAGCCAGACAAAACCCACCCAAACCAAGATGACAATGAGAGTGACCTGTGGTCATCCTCACTGCTACACTGCCACCAGCGCCATGACAGTTTACAAATGCCATGGCAAAGTCAGGAAGTTACCCTATAGCATCTAAAAAGGGAGCAACCCTCTGTTCCTAGAACTGCCTACTTCTTTCCTGGAAAACTCATGAATAATCCACCCTTTGTTTAGCATATAATCAAGAAATAACCATAAAAACAGGCAACCAGCATCCCTCAGGGTTGCTCTGCCTATGGAGTAGCCATTCTTTTACTCCTTTACTTTCCTAATAAACTTGCTTTCACTTTGCTCTGTGGACACGCCTGGAATTCTTCCTTGCATGAGATCCAACAACTCTCTCTTGGGTTCTGGACCGAGATGCCTTTCCAGTAACATCTTCACATTCCCCTTCAATAAAATGTGCATAGTAATAAAGCCTACTTGGGGTTGTAGCAGGGATTAACTGAGAAAACACAGGTGATATGCTTAACTCAGTGCCTGTTACATGGTAAGTCCTCAGTAAACGTTAGACACTGTTCTTATTTTTGTTGTTGTAACAAGGCTGTTCATGATATGGTCTCTACTGAGCTGTCCACATTGTTTCCATGCTACCTCCTGGTCACCTTCCACTTCCCCTGCAGCTGCCCACCCTCTGTGCCTCTGTTTCTCCCTTCCCTAGAGCGTTCCTTCCCACTTCCCACCCCTTCTTCACCCACTGCTTCTACTTACCCTTAAGACTTGCTTGAAGTATCACTTCTTCCAGGAAGCTTTCCTTGACTTCATGTGAGTTAGGTGCTCCTTCTGTGAGCTGCAATAGGAGCCTGTGCTTCCCTCTCCTATTGTATTTATCAAACGGCAACACTGTAATTTTCTACCCTCTTAGTCTGCCACCACCCACCAGTCTGTGAGTTCTTGAAATGACAAAAACTGTGATTTCTTTATCTGGGTTCCTCCAGTATTTAGCCCATAACCTGACAATTAATATTTGCTAAATGATTTAAGCGGTGAGTGAAAGAAGATTAGGCAACTCCCATGGCTACTTGTCCTGGGACCTCTGCTGACTACTCCCAGGAGGTTATTCCTTTCTGAAAGTGGGATGTAAGTCAGGCAAACAGAATTATTCATTAAATTATTATTGCTATTTGCTTATATTATTGTTCTAGGTGCTGAGACCACCATAGTGTCAAAAAACAAAATTACAACAAATTTAGTATAAAGATCTAATTGGCTTTTATTAATAATTCTAGAATCAGGCAACATCTCATCCTATAAAATAAAATGGGTTTTCCGATGAGCTGAGAAGACGAGCCTGGCTTTATAGGCAGAAAAGGGCTGAAGAAAACAGAAACAGAGAACAAAAAGCAGATGCTTTGTTTCAAGGTTAGTACCCTGATAGTGTTAAAGCAGAAGGGACTTCCTGGTCATACCATCTTAAGGTAAGCTGCTCCCCTTTTGATTAGTTGCTGTGAATCTCATTCGCTCTCTATTTTTTTTTTTATTAGAAAGCTGGCCTATTTCAGAGTTCAGTTTGATTATGTGGCATTTAACATGAATGACTCCATTCTGGTCTGCTGGGCCTAGTTCAGGAGCCCAGTCCAAAACAATAGTCTCCCATAAATTTCATTTAACAATAGTAAACAAGATAAAGTATTCTGCCTCCCCGGTGGTTACAGTCTAGAAATGGATGGGAAGATAATCAAAATAGCATTAAGTTCTAGAACAAAAGTAGAACAAAATTAAGAGTAGGGAGTGATGAGGGCAAGGAGCTAATTTAGACTGGGTGGTCAGGAAAGGCCTCTGAGGACGTGACCTTTAGGCTGAGAACTTAATAATGAGAAAGATAAAATCTTGTAAAAATCAGGAGCAGAGAAACTTGAAAGACACTGGGTGGGCATGAGCCTGCGTTTTCGCAGGCAGAGGGTCAGTGTGCCCAGGGCCCAATTTCACCAAATGAGGTCAGAAGGGGTCATGACCAGCTCCGGTAAGTCCTCTTAGGCCATGATAAGCTGTCTTGATTTAGTTCTGCCCACAACAGGAAGCCACAAAAGGGTTTTTACAAAAGGGAGTGAGATGATCTGACTTAATATTTGTGGATTACTCTGGTCTCTGTGCAGAATAGAAATTGTACCAGGTTCTCACAGTATTTCCGTGAGATGATTGCAGCTTAGAGCTAGAGATAAAGAAAAGAGGATGAATTGAGGCTGTCTTGGGGAAGATGACAGCACTCACTGATGGAGTATATGAAGGGAGTAGCACGGGACAAGAGGAATCAAGAGTGATTCCTGTGTGAGACTGGAGCCACAGTGTAGTAGATGGTGGTGTCATTTCCTAAGTTGATAAAGAGACTAGAGGAGAAGTGAGCTTGAGGGACAGAGGTGGAAGGAACCCAAAGTTCTGTTTAGGGCATATGAGGTGGAGATGCTATTAGACTTTTAAGCAGAGTATAGAGGCAACCCGCTGCCTCTACAAGCCTGAAGCTTAGTGGACAGATCAGGAGTGGAACTGTAAACCTGCCAATCATCAGCAAGGAATGACTTTAAACAGGGAGTTGAACAGATAAGCTGGGCCACGTAAATATTGAAAGAGGATGGGGAGAGGAAAAGAAAGAGAAGTGGAGGGGAGGGAAGGGGAAAAGAATAAGGTCCCAAATCAATCTTGGCCGTCCTCAAAGAGAGGAGATGGAGGAACAGCAAGTGATTGGGGAAGGAAATCCACCTAGGAGAGGGTGTGCTATAGAAGCTGGAGGAGAAAGTGAGAGGTTGAAGAAAGTGCTAAAGGATAGGGTCAGAAAAGCAACAAGTGACCAGATTTGGCAAAATAAGTCATTAATCACATTGATTAGAACCGTTTTGGGGAGTGATGGGTTCAACAGCTCAATGACAGTGAATTGAGAGAACGAGAACTGAGAAAGTGGAGACAGTGCCTCTAAACAGCACTTTAAAGACATGTTGTATGGAAAAAAACAAGATTGTAACAGGAGGGAGAAGGTCAGGGAAGAGTTTTTTTTGGCTTTGGTTGACTTGGTTTTTAAGATGCAAGATTCCGGCACCTTTGTATGCCTTTGGAGTTAGAGAGAGAGGGGCTGGATGCAGAGCCAGCCTGAAAAGGTCCTGAGAAGGTGAGGGGGGCTGGGGTCCAGGAGCTAGCAGATGGTAAGGTTGGCCTGAGAGAGCAGCCAACTCCCCCACTGAGGCCTAGGAAAGAGCACGTGGGCAGAGACAGCTGCAGGGTACAGTTGATGAAGGGAAGGTCTAGTCTGCAGCTTGAAGCTTCTTTGTGAAGTTTGAGAGGAAGACATCAGCTAGACTATGAGGGAGGGGGAGCAGGTGTTGGAGCTTTGAAGGGAGAGCAGCTATAAAATGCTTCCTTGTAGGATGGGCCAGGGAATAACCCCGGGAAGTGCAGGCGGGGCTCCAGGCCCTGGGAGAACCCATCAATATTTGTGACCCTGAATTAAAGGAAGACTAGTTAAGTAGGTGGATGATACCGTGTTGACCAAGATGGCTTGGGAATGTACAATCCTGGCATCTGAGGAAACAGACCTGGCAAGAGGCAGTAATGTGAAGTAGCCATCTCTCTGAGCATGCTTTCCTCACCACTTCTTCCTTCACAGGATCCGGTTTTGTTCAGGTGTTCACACGAATCATGAGATTCACAGGAATGGGAAGCCGAACTCATTCCCAGCTCCAGAAGTGGATGCTGATATTTTAAACCAATCACCAGATGCCATTCCTTTGATGATGATGATTAATTTGTCCAGGGGCAGGTATGAGACCCAACTTGAACTGGTCAGACAGAAGGGAAGGACATAATTCCAAATGGACACCTGTTCTCTCTCCTACCAGTGAGGAAAAGGAAACGAGATGTCCAGCTGTTGGCCCCAGTCATAAGAGGAAGCTGATGCTGCGGATGAAGAGTGGAGCAATGGAAATAATCTGGGGTCCAGTAACATTGCTAAACTACTGATTCAACTAGCCTTTCTTTTTTTCTTTTCTTTTTCTTTCTTTTCTTTTTTCTTTCTTTTTTTTTTTTTTTAAGAGACAGGGTCTTGCTCTGTCACCTAGGCTGGAGTGCAGTGGTGAGATTATATCTCACTGCAGCCTCCCACTTCTGGGCTCAAATGATCTTTCCTCCTCAGCTTCCCAAGTAGCTAGGACTATAGGTTCATGCCACCACACTGGGCTAATTTTTAAATTTTTTTTGTAGAGACAGGGTCTTGCTATGTTGCCAAGGCTGGTCTAGAACTCTTGGCCTCAAGTGATGCACCTTCCTCTTCCTCCCAAAGCACTGGGATTACAAAGGCATGAGGCACCATGCCTGACTAACCATGAAGACTGCTTTATCTCTGAATAAATCCCCTTTTTTTAAAACCCAGCTTTTGTGAGGGTTTCTGTTACTTGCAGCAAAAGGGTCCTGATGGACACAGTTGTTTTTGCAATGTATGAGAAATCCTCAAAACTGGCTTTTCCCATGCTTGCCTTCCTCTCCGTTACACGCACTGCCTAAAGCAAAGTGACTGCTTCCTCGGGAGTCAGGTTTTAAGGTCCCTGGGGTAGTTCTGCTTCCACAGTTTAGGTTTACCAAGAGGCAGATATGTTTGTCCACGAGCTGGTTTTGCCAGTTGCACTTGTTTTTGTAATTATGTAAAGCAATGAAATATGAGTGAGGGAAAGAATTGCTGTTGTCCAAAATCCAAACTGAATGCTTTCCATAAACAGTAAAGACAAGTTGCTTAGAAAACAAAGCAAATACAAAACAATCTTAGAGTTTCATGCAGGTGAGGCAAGTGTAAAATAATTGGAAAATTTTGTTAAATCTAGAATAATTCTGAACTCAGATTGTTCCCCAACTGTCCTTCAGTTCTGGCTCTACTTTAAAGCTATTGGGACTGAAAACCACTGACTTTTTAAATGACTACACATGACTCCTATTAGATGTCACATGTCTTAAAAGAGGCCTTATCCCTTCAAAATACTGTCAAATGAAAGAATATTTATATGTTTTACTTTAGTAAAATATTAAAAATGTTTTCCATTTTTAATGTTTCTTTGCTCTAACTGACTAACTGCTTTAACTGATTACCCAACTAGCTACCAGTCTGGTGGCTTCTGAGTAAATGTACCCCTGTTCCTCTTTAGCCCCTTCTCCTACCTGGTCAACCTACTGCCCTCAGTCTCTTTCCTTTCTCCATCTTGTCAGCATAGAACAGTACAGCATCAATAACAACTGATTTTTGCAAAATTATAATTACAATAGCAAGAGTATTTTTCTTTTTTTTTTTGTTTTGAGATGGAGTATCGCTCTGTCGCCCAGGCTGTTGTGCGGTGGCATGATCTCGGCTCACTGCAAGCTCCATCTCCTGGGTTCACTCCATTCTCCTGCCTCAGCCTCCCGAGTAGCTGGGACTACAGGCGACCGCCACCACGCCCGGCTAATTTTTTTGTATTTTTAGTGGAGACAGGGTTTCACCGTGTTAGCCAGGATGGGCTCGATCTCCTGACCTTGTGATCCGCCTGCCTCGGCCTCCCAAAGTGCTGGGATTACAGGCATGAGCCACTGTGCCTGGCCGAGTATTTTTCATTTTAATAAAAGTTCTGGGAGGATCTACACTAAAGTGTTAACTGCTATTTCTGCATGAAGAGACTGTGGATTTTTTTCTTATTTTCATGTATGAGGATAATAATGATGTGTACTAGTATTGACTTGGTTATAACAAACTAAAAATAATCTTTTAACCCAAGAACAAAGAATATTTTGTCTTTTTATGAGAATTTACTTTTTACAGAGAACTTTTAGATCCATTGAATCAATGGTACTTCACAACTACACTGCAAAGAAAACATTTATTCCTGCTTCCCGATGAGGAAACCAAAATGGGAGAAGGGGAAACCATGTGGCCTCAGATGACAAAGCAAGTAAGAAATAGAGCCTGTTTAGATGCCCAGGTCCCTGATGTCTGCTTCAAGTAGTTTTTCGTTTCCCTCAGCATCACTAAAGATTTAATGAAAGCAGATTGATCATAGCTAAATATGCTTCCTCTGACAGAATGAAGAGCATTTGGCAATGTAAAAAAATAGAGTTTTAAGTGATGAAAGCGCAAGTCCAGAAGGAGACTGGGAGAGGAGGAAGGCCTTCACAGCACTGTTGGGTACTTCCATACAAGGCCAGTGTCACGTAGGATACGGTGGCTTCCTTTCTTGATCAACCACCCCCCAAGACTTCAAATCAGCTCTGTTAGTCTGTACTGGAAAATGTGGGCCCACTGTTTAACCTCTTTGGGCTTCATCATTGTGTTCTATTAAATAGGAGTGATGATAGTCACAAGATTGTTGTCAGAATTTGAAATGTTGATGTATATAAAGCCCTTAACACAGCAGCTGATGGGTTCTAGCATTGTCATCATAATAAAAACTAGTAATACTGTTAGTAGTAATCACACCACTGCTGCTTTAACGGGAAGTAGCAGACTTGCTGAGGGCTACCAGGCTGATGGGCACTAATGCTGGAAGATCATGAATCAGAACAATACACTCTAAGGATTCATCAAAACTATTATAATTTTTCTAAGCTTATCTCAGTTCTCTTCATTCTTATGCTGAGAATTTGACTTCTCAGAGTTTTTTGGGCAACCTCTTTATCACCTTTATCATCTATTTTATAAGAATTATCACCTCCACTACCACAAACCTCATTGGTAGTGTTAGACAGATCACTGAGGCAGAAAGCGAACACAGAAATTCTGGACTTAAATTCAACACTTGACCAAATTGTACCTAATAGACATCTATAGAATACTCCACCCACTGACAACAGAGTATAGTCTTCTCATCTGCATATGAACACACTCCAAGAACAACTACATGCTCAACTATAAACCAAGTCTTAATAAATTCAAAAAATTTCAAAATAATACCAATCATATTCTTGGACCACACTGGAATAAAAACAGAAATCAATACCAAGATGATCTTTCAAAAACCACACAATTACATGGAAATTAAACAATTTGCACTGGATTGGCTTCTAAACAATGAATTTAAGGCAGGAATAAAAAAATTATTTGAAATAAATGAAAACAGAGACACAACATACCAAAATCTCTGGGATGCAACAAAAGTAGTGTCAACAAGACAGTTAATAGCCCTAAATGCCTAACTCAAAAGGTACAGAGGTCTCAAATTAACAATCTAGCATCACACTTAGAGGAGCTAGAAAGACAAGAAGAAACAACTCTAAAGCTAGCACAAGAAAAGAAATAACTAGGACTGGGCATGTTGGCTCATGCCTATAATCCCAGCAGTTTGGGAGGCCAAAGTGGAAAAATGATTAAGTCCAGGAGTTTGAGACCAGCCTGGGCAAGGTGGTAAGACCACAGGGCAACACTGCAAAACCCCATCTCTACCAAAGTAAAAACAAAAATAAATATTAGCCAGGCATGATGGTGTGTGCCTGTAGTCCCAGCTACTTGCAAGGCTGAGGTGGGAGGATTGCTTGAGCCCAGGAGTTCAAGGCTGCAGTGAGGTATGATCATGCTACTCCCCACCAGCCTGGATAACAGAGCAAGACCCTGTTGAAAGAAAAAAGAAAGAGGAAAGAAAGAAAGAAGGAAAGAAAGAAAGAAAGAAAGAAAGAAAGAAGAAAGAAAAAGAAAGAGAAAGAAAAAGAAAGAAAAGAAAGAAAAAAGAAAAAGAGAAAGGAGGGAAGAAAGAAAAAGAGAGAAGGGAGGGAAGGGGAGGGAAGAAAGAAAGAAAAAGAGAGAGAAAGAGAGGGGGAGGGAGGGAGGAAAAGTAAAGAAGGGAGAAAGAGAGGGAGGGAGGAAAAGTAAAGAAGGGAGAAAGAGAGGGAGGCAGAACAGAACTGAACAAAATTGAGACCCAAAAATCCACACAAAGAATCAACAAAAACAAAAGGTGCCTCTTTGACAGCGTAAACAAGATTGATATACTGCTAGTCAGATTAACAAAGACAAAGAGAAGGTCCAAATAAGAGCAATAAGAAAAGACAGAGGTGACATAACAACCAATCCCACAGAAATACAGAAGATCCTCAGAGACTATTATTAACACCTCTATGTAAACAAAGTAGAAAATCTGGAGGAAATGGAACAATTCCTGGAAATACACAATCTCCCAAGATTGAATCAGGAGAAAATTAAAACCCTGAACAGAACAATATTGAGTTCCATAATTGAATCAGTCATAAAAAAATCTATGAACCAAAAAAAGCCCAGACCAAATGGATTCACAGTTGAATTCTACTAGACTTACAAAGAAGAGCTGATACCAATTCTATTAGAAAAAGTCAAGGAGGAGAGACTCCTTCCTAACTCATTCTACAAAGCCAGCATCACCCTGATACTAAAATCTGGCAAAGGCACACACAAAAGCAAAACTACAGGCCAATACCCCGGATGAGCAGAGACACAAAAATCTTCAACAAAATACTAGCAAATGGAATCTAGCAGCACATCAAAAAGTTAATATACCACAATCAAGTAGACTTTATTACTGGCATGCAAGTTTGGTTCAACATACACAAATCAATGAATGTGATTTACCACATAAACAGAATTAAAAAAAAAACCATATGATCATCTCAATAGATGCAGAAAAGTCTTTTGGTAAAATTCAACATCCCTTCATAATAAAAACCATCAATAAACAAGGCATAGAAAGGACATACCTCAAAATAACAAGAGCCATCTATGACAAACCCAAAGCGAATATGATACTGAACAGGCAAAAGCTAGAAGCATTCCCCTTGAGAATAAGGATGTCCACTCTCACCACTCCTCTTCAGCATAGTACTGGAAGTTCTAGCCAGAGCAAGCAAGAGAAGGAAATAAAAGGCATCTAAATGGGAAAAGAAGTCAAACTATCTCTCTCACTAACAATATAACTCTACACCTAGAAAACCCTAAAGACTTCACCAAAACCCTCTTAGAACTGAGAAACAACTTCACTAAAGTTTCAAAATACAAAATCAATGTACAAAAGCCGGTAGTATTTCTATACGTCAATAACATTCAGGCTGACAGCCTAATAAAAAAATGCAATCCCATTTACAATAGTCAAAGAGACCCTAAAAAACCTAGGAATACATCTAACCAAAGAGGTGAAAGATCTCTGCAAGGCAAAGTGCAAAACACTGCTGAAAGAAATCATAGGTGACACAAACAAATAGAAAAACATTGCGTGCTCATGGATTGGAAGAATCAGTATTGTTAAAATGACTGTACTGCTCAAAGCAATCTACAGATTCAGTGCTATTCCTTTCAAACCACCATGTCGTCTTTCACAGAATTAGACAAAAACGATTCTAAAATTTAAATGGAACCAAAAAATAGCCCAAATAGCCAAGGAAATCCTAAGCAAAAAGAACAAAGCCAGAGGCATCACATTATCCAATTTTAAACTGTACTATAAGCCTACAGCAACCAAAACAGCATGGTACCGGTACAAAAACAGACATGTAGACCAATGGAACAGAAGAAGAACTCTGAAATAAAGCGACAAACCTAAAGCCATCTGATCTTCAGCAAAGTTAACAAAAATAAGCAAAGGGGAAAGACTGTCTATGCAATAAATGGTGCTGGGATACCTGGCCTGCCATGTGCAGAAGAATGAAACTGGACCCCTACTTTTCACCATATACAAAGATTAACTGAAGATTGATTAAAGATTAAAATGTAGGACCTCAAACTGTAAGAATTCTAGAAGAAAACCTAGGAAACACTATTCTGGACATTGGCCTTTGGAAAGAATTTATGACTAAATCCTCAAAAGCAATTGCAACAACAACCAAAAAAATGACAGGTGAGACCTAATCAAACTAAAGAGCTTCTCTGCACAGCAAAAGAAACTATCAACATAGTAAACAGACAACCTACAGAATGGGAGAAAATATTCACAAACTATGCATCCAACAAAGGTCTAATCTAATGCAGAGAATCTATAAGGAACTTAAACCATTGAACAAGCAAAAAACAACAGCATTAAAAAAGACATTAACAGACACTTCTCAAAAGAAGACATACAAGAGGCCAAGAAATATATGAAAAAAATGGTTCACATCACTAATCATCAGAGGAACATGAAATCAAAACCACAATGAGTTACCATCTCATACCAGTGAGAACGCTATTAATAAAAAGCTATTAATACAAGTAAAAATATCAAATGTCATCAAGGCTGCAGAAAAAAGGGAATGCTTATACAGTGTTGGTGGGAATGTAAATTAGTTCAGCCCCTGTTTGGAGATTTCTCAAAGGACTAAAGACAGAACTATCATCTGACCCAGCAATCCTATTACTAGGTATATACCCAAAAGAAAATAAATTGTTCTGCCAAAAAGGCACATGCACTTGTATGTTCATTACAGCACTATTCACAATAACAAAGACATGGAATGAACCTAGGTGCCCAGCAACGGTGCATTGGATAAAGGAAATGTGGTACACATACATCATAGAATACTATGCAGCCATAAAAAGAGCGAAATAATATCCTTTGCAGCGACATGGATGCAGCTGGAGGCCATTACCCTAAGCAAATTTACTCAGGAACTGGAAACTAAAAGCCACGTTTTCTTATTTATAAGTGAGAGCTAAACGTTGGGTAATCGTGGACATAAAAGTGGCAACAATAGACACTGGGGACTATTAGAGTGGGGAGGAAGGGAGACGGGCAAGGGTTGATAAACTATTGGGTACTATGCTGACTACCTGGGTGACAGGATCAATCATACCCCAAACCTCAGCATCAGGCAATATTTCCAGGTACCAAACCTGCACATGTACCCCCTGAATCTAAAATAGAAGTCAAAATTATAAAAATAAAAGAAAAAAGAAGTATTATCCCCTCCACTTTGGTCCCCTGAACCCTCTGAGAATAAGAAAATTAGTTTCTTTGTGGAGGAACGGCATGGTTCCTCGGTTCCTTCCCATTTTGGTAGTTAATTGTGATTCCCCACTAGTATAAAGGATTCTGGAAGGCTGCCATCTTATGCAGACTTACAGAAAAAGTGGCAGAAGGAGTCTGACTGGCTGGCCCAGGATTCATGTTCACAAGTAGACTGAGCAGCCCTTGTGCTTTGCGATCATTCTGGCCATCAAACTCCATGGCCCCATATTCGTGTCACTTGCCCAAGGTCCTTCCGTCCAAATGGCCAAACCCACCTGATGTTGACATGATATACAGTTTGCAAAGTGTTTCCCGTAATATTTTGTTTGCACCCCAACCTTGTAAGGGATTATTAACTATTCTATTTACAGCTGGAAAAAAATGAATAATTTTTGAAATCTGACATTGAAGAAACCCTAGAAGTTAGCCCAACTCAATCCCTTATTTTCTCAGATGATGACATTGAGACCCTGAAAAGTTAAGTGCCTTGTTCAAAATCACAGTGACAGTAATGACAACAAGGGTGTCTTGATCAGATATGGTACTGAGCACTCAGAGTATGTCGTCTCATTTTGTTCTCACAACCATCTTACAAAGTAGGACATGTTGAAAATAAGATAAGCAAACTGAGAGGGCTGAGTCAAGGCCAGGTTTTCTGATGCAAGTTCAGTGCAGCTTCACTCCTCACAGCTACGCCAGGTTGGCCCCTCTCCACTCCTGACGTCAGGGCCATCTGAGGGGAGGACATGGCTGTCAGCTGGGAAGAGTGAAATGGGCAAAGACTGCGTCACGGCTGGAAGGGATCGTGGCAAGGGCACAGGCAGCAGGAAAGCTGGTGAGTCACCAGAAAGTCTGGCTAAGGATGAGACTGAGATCAGTTCAACAAAACAGCCAAAACGATCACAGCAGCATCTCTCTCTGACCACCCAGATTACTTTCAGCAGCAGCACAGTATGAGCAAGGCTGAGCTCCAGGGAGAGCCAGGGAACAAGCCAGAAATTTTTATCAGGATTTCTTTTTCACACGAACTCCTCAGACTCTAAATCCAGCCCTTTAAACTGGTGAAGCAAAGGTCCAAGAGAAAATTTGCTGATTATATGAATTTTCACCAGCAGTAAATCAGTGGTTCTCTACTAGGATAACTGCGCCCCCAGGGGACATTTGACAATGTCTAGAGACAATTTTCGTTGGAGGGTTGGGAGAGCGCTACTGGTAAATAATGGAGAAAGGCCACAGATGTGGCTAAATATCCTTCAATGCATGGGACGGCCCCTTTCAACAAAGAATTATCCCACCCAAAAATGTTCATAGTGTCGAGGCTGAGAAACTTTGGTGCAAATGAAGCTGAGCTGCGTATAAACATAACTTCAGTTGCACAATAAACACCCCAGCTTTCAGAGAAATAGTCAACTAGGTCAAAGGGCACTGGAGTGGGGACTGCAAGGCCTGATTTCTAGTTCTAACTTGATGACAAGTTTGGAACTTTGGGTGTCTTTTTCTTCCTAGAACTAGAGCAGCCATGTGATGCGGCCAGAGCCTTCCTGGGGTTGGCTAGTGGCATATAGGAAACAGCAGGGCTACTCTACCTTTGCAAAACATTCTTAAGTTATGATTAACCCAAGCATCTCAGTGTTGATGGACCACCTTTGTTTTAGTAGGGCCTCAGCACTTTTTTCCTCCAATTAAAAAGGTAATCCATATCATTATAGAAACTTAAGAAAATACAGAATAACACAAACAGAAGAAAAAAAGTATCTTATAATCCCATCTCTTAGAAAGGAGTCTTATTCTGAAGGTCTCCAGATACTGACCTTCATTTTCAATATTTTGAAGAGGAAGGGGAGAAGAGAGAGTCACTGTCCTCCTCCTTTTGTTGTTGTTTTTGTTTTCTTTTTCACTTCTTTATAGTACAAGCGAGCTTTACCAATTAGTCAAAAGTGGAGTTCAAAGAGTTTTAACTGTAGCTACTTGTGTTTGTACTAATGTTTTAACTTTTTAAAAAAGTTAAAGTTGTTGATTGTGGTAAAATACAAATAACATAAAACTTACCACCTTAACCATTTTTGACTGTACAGTTCAGTAGTGTTGTGAGTCAATCTCCAGAACCTTTTCATTTTCCAAAACAAATACTCTGAACTCATTAAACAATAACTCCTCAATTTCCTCCTCCTCTAGCCCCTGGCAGCCACCATTCTACTTCCTGTTTTATGAACTTGACTACTCCAGATTCCTCATGTAAGAGAAATTATACAGCATTTGTCTTTTTGTGACTATTTCACTTAGCATAATGTCTTCAAGGTTGATCTATGTTGTAGCACATGTCTGAATTTGCTTGCTTTTTAATGCTGAACAGTATTCCATTGTGTATCCCATTTTGTTGATCCATTTATCTATTGATGGGCATGTGGGTTGCTTCCCCTTTGGCTATTAGGAATAATGCTGCTGTAAACACGGGTGTACGAATTTCCCTTAGAAACTCTGTGTTGTGTCTTAACTTCTTGGTTCCTCCTTTGTTTTTGTTGTAAAAATGGAGGAAAAAGGAACACCTGCCTTGCAAACCCCCAGATAGAGTGCTGGATAAACAGTGAAGAGCCAATGTTTCCACAGGAGGAAGGATTAGATAGGGAGAGCTGGTTCACATTGAAAATGCTGCATGGGACTAATGAGACGTAGGGGGTCAGAGAAAGCCTGAGGCCTGCAGCTGCTCTTCCATGAGTACCCATCCTCATCCCCCCGTCGAGTCCCATGACCTGGCCCTCCCATCATTGTGGCTTTCCTTCTTGTCTGTGGTTTGGTTGTCTGGATTCTCTGTAAAACTCTTCTTCCCTTCCATTGCCTGAAAAATGCCTATCGCATTTCAAGACCCCCTTGAATGAGTGTCCTGTCTGTAGAGCACCTGTATAAAAACTCAGACATATTTTGTTTCACACTGTGTGAAGTAAAGCAATTCCTACCTGAGTAACATAAAATCAGATTATCTTGGTGTTTAATAATTCCTCTACTGTAAATGACGAAGCTTTGGAAAACAATTCTTTCAGAATGATAGAGCTATAAACTTCTCCTTCGGGAGGCAAAGTCCAATCCTGGTGGGCCCAAAGAGACATATCTTTCTTTAAGTCGCCCTACATTCTTGTGAAACTCAGTTTGCTCTTAGAAAACAAAGGGATGGTCCTCTGGAAGACCCAAGGCCACGCCCAGGAGCTGCCAACTCAAACAGTTGGAGGGGATTGGAAGGCTCCATGTTTTTAGTTATTTTCAGTTCTAACTCATGACAAAGCAAAAACACTGAGACCGAAGAGGCTGACAAATCCAGTTCACAGAAAGAAACATTCAATAGGGATTTACAGAAGTGATGTCTTGGGCAGCCATGAGATGGTGGATCCCTGCACCCACCCTCCAGAAAGTATTCTTTACATAGCAAGCTTTTAGGGTAAAGCATGTGCTGCTGCTTGTCACACCTTCAGATTTTCTCGTGGATACTTGTGACCACTTCTTTATGAAGGGTAATTTATACTACAGGCATTGTTTAAAGGCCTTGCTGCAGAACACCCTGGCCTATGGGGGTCAAACATCAGTTATCATGGTGCTTTTGCTTCAAGACAGCATCACTCTTACCATGCAACAGCTGTTTTCCTACATATACAAATGTGTACATGAAGAGAGAAGGAAGCAAAAACACTTAAAATATGAGAAAAATAAGAACAAGTAAAGCCTGATTGATTATGACCCAGTACTGTCAGGTAAATCTTGGAGAGAACGGAATTATTAGGTGGCTCTATTAAAGGATTTCTTACATATTTGTAATTATTTATAATATAGACTTTGTAAACATGCTGAAACTATTAGTGAAAGATAAAGAGCTTCCTGTTGTTTAAAATGATGCATTGACCTATTAGGAAAAATTCATCACCTGAATGTGGCTTACAGCATTGCCATCAGGAACAGTTCATGCTGTGAGAAAAATAAAATTATGGAAGCTCTGAAAATGTGACCTTTTAGAATCCCTCTGGAATTAAAGGATGTGAAAAGGATTTAGCTATATTACTAATATGGCTGTGGTTGTTTGTTTCCACTCACTACAACTACCTTCCTGCATGTAAATAAATGGTAACATAATCAAGCCTTTGTGATAGTTTATTAGAATATTGCCTCTCAACTGAATATGTCCTTAGATCCTTCTTCCACAGCTTTTACATGAGGTGTTTTCATATAGCACAGAAACATTATTTTCCTTCTGTAATTGCTCCTGTAGAAGGGTAAGACTAGCACTTTTGCAAAAGGGTGACATTTACAAATTGTTTTTGTCTTCAGAGTAAGCCACTGTTTACATTTAAGAAAAATGAAGTCCCACTAGTTTTCCTTGGGTATGACTGAGGGATTTCCCATCATAGGAGATGAAAAAATTTTTTGTCTCTGCCCTCTTAGTTTCATTGCCTGGGGCCCTGCAAATTAGACTGACAAAAGACAAATTAACTGGAGAAAAGCATATAATCTTTACTTTATGTTAATTTTTTTCTTTTCTTTTTTTTTTTTTTTTTTTTTTTTTTGAGACAGAGCCTTGCTTTGTTGCCCAGGCTGTAGTGCAGTGGTGCAATCTCAGCTCACTGCAAGCTCCGCCTCCCGGGTTCACGCCATTCTCCTGCCTCAGCCTCCTTTGTAGCTAGGACTACAGGTGCCCGCCACCATGCGCCTGGCTAATTTTTTTTGTATTTTCAATAGAGATGAGTTTTCACTGTCTTAGCCAGGATGGTCTCGATCTCCGGGCCTCAGCCTCCCAAAGTGCTGATATTACAGGTGTGAGCCACCACGCCCAGCCTATTTTATGTTAATTTTATGTGATATCTTCCCAGAAAAGAAGCAAAGACCCAAAGAAGCAGATAGCCTGAAAGCTTATATACCATTTTTAACAAAGAATGATAAATTGTGGCAATGTCACAAGACAAGGAAAAGGGTTTTGAGCTTCCAGGGGTGGTAAACTGTGGGATGGTAAATAGATGGGGGACACCAGTGGGAGAAAAGGGCTATCTTAGTAAGTTTGTTTGTGCAGGTTCATTGCAGTGCCAACTTTTTGTCTCCTTCATGGCTATAAAACTTCCCTGGGACACGGCATTTATTGCAGCCCTTATTTCTCCGGAGTTTCTGCTTGCAGTTAGATAAAGGAAGCTCCAAGAAGCTACCTTTCTACATTTGTTGACTCTCAAATGTCTTCAGCTCAAAATAATTCTTATGCTAAAGTAATATATTTTCGGGTGGCATATTATGATCCCCTTCACTGTCTTACGTAGATCTTCTGTTGATTAGAATTGTAATCATGATGTGTAAGAGGTCCCTGTTCAGATGGAGTTAAATGTTTCAAGTTATGTATATTGCTCTGCTTGGGACATCAGGCCCTGGAGAGTGCTGTAAAATTGGCAATGGATCTAATGGCTGAGATTAACAACTGTGTCCAGGCCAGACAGTCTAGTCTGGTTGCCCCAGAGGGACATCTGCAGATGTGTGGAGACATTTTGAGTTGTCAAAACTGGGCACAGGAGGATGCTACCCCATCTAGTGGGCAGGGGCTGGGGGTGTTGCTATCTGACAATGCACAGGACAGACTCCACCACAAATAGTTAACTAGGTTGTATTAATTTGTTAAGGCTGCCATAACAACGCACCACAGAATGGGTGCTTTAAGTAACATAAATTTATTGTCTCAGAGTTCTGAAGGCTAGCAGTCCAAAAACAAGGTTCCTTCTGCAGGCTCTGTTCTAGGGAAGGCTTTGTTCTAGACCTTTCTTCTTGGCTTGTAGGTGGCTGTTTTCTCCCTGTGTCTCTTCAAGTCATCTTCCCTCTATGTTTATTTCTCTGTCCAAATTTCCCCTTTTTATGAGGACACCAGTCATTTTTGAGTAGGGTCCACCCTGGTGATCTCATTTTAACCCAATTACCTCTGTAAAGACCTTATCAAACCATATTCAAACCATAAAACAACCTAAAAGTCAATAGTGCCAAGGTGGAGATGCTCTGGTTTAAATGGTTGCTTGGCTTCTATGCCTTCTTGCCTTCTTTCTGTCTTTAACTTACTTTAATCTTTGGACAGTGTTTGCCTAGAAAAATGATGGGAGTTTTAATTTATCTTCAGGACTTAATCACTAGGGCTGGCATTTAGGGGTAGATACCTAGAAACATTACAATGATAAGGTAAAAATTTAGCTTTCATTTCCCCATCCAGCACCAAGTAGATCATCCCTTTATTTTCCTGTCTATTTTCCTTTGTTTCTGGTTTCCTATACATGCTTCCCTACTTAGACTGGCTTTGCTTTGAGCCCACTTGTGAGATATGCTCATAGGATGTAGCCATCCGTGTCCTATATAAAAAGAATACTAGTAGAGGAAGTCTTTTTTTTTTTTTTTTTTTTTTGAGACAGAGTCTTGCTCTGTCACCCAGGCTGGAGTGTAATGGCACGATCTGGGCTCACTGCAACTTCTGCCTCCCAGGTTCAAGCGATTCTTGTGCCTCAGTCTCCAGAGTAGCAGGCATTACAGGTGCGTGCCACCACACCTGGCTAATTTTTGTATTTTTAGTACAGATGGGGTTTCGCTATGTTGGCCAGGCTGGTCTTGAACTCCTGACCTCAGGTCATCCACTTGTCTCGGCCTCCCAAAGTGCTGGGATTATAGGTGTGAGCCACTGTGCCCAGCCTGAGGAAGTCTTTTTAAACCGTTTTAAGTTATGGTGAACTGAAATGCCTTAATGATATAGAGTAATGTAAAAATATGGACTCCCAGGTGAGTCAAATGTGGGTTTCCATCCCACTCTGTCATGATTGCTTTTAACCTTGGGAAAGCTAAGTTACCCCTCTCTAAATCTCCAGTCATTTTCTTATTGGTAAAAGGAGAGATAATAAGGTTATTTGCACTACAGACAGAGATGAAGAGAGGATTATGAAATAGTGCATGTAGTGAGATTAGCTTAATGCCTGGTCCAAAGAATGTAGACACTAAACATTAGCTGTTGGTATTATTACTAACAGAGAGATGAAAATGACACCTTGTAATCATTCCGTGACCTCAGCGACATTGATGTTACATCTACAGTGCACTAAGCACTGGGAATGCAAACGTGATAAGATCCTTGAAGTCTAGTGAAGAAGGAAAGCAAGGAGAGAGTAACAGCTGTGTGTGAAGTGCTGTAACAGAGCTATGCACAACCGTCTACAGGAACAGGAAGGAAGGATTTCTAGAAAAGGCCTTTGGGAAAATGTCCAGGAAATATTTATAGAAACCTGAAGTCATCACATTGATTTACCTAAATGTGACTCAGGTTATACATCAGCAGCTTTTTCAGATTCTATTATGACAAAATCATGCCCCCTTCATCACTGCAAGAACCAATACAGAGTTTTCAAATATTAAATGAAAAATGCAAAAGGGAAGAGAGAAAACAGAATGTAAAATGTTAATACACAATTTGTTTCTGTGAAAATAGAAATGAGAAAAGAGGTGAAGCAATGATAAGTTATGCCTAAATATTCATGGATAAAGTAAACAACTAACATTTTAAAAAATGTGTTTGTTTTGGCAATGAAGGATAGTCAGGAAATCCCATTTATGGTACAAATACAGTAGAAGTGAAAAATATAGGAACAGTTATGGCCAATAATGTTATTTTTAGAAGGAAAATAGAAATGAAAGAAATTGCTGAAATATAATGCCCATGAATAGAGTTTGTCTGCTTTTTTGACAAAGTGGAGTTTTTCCTGTTGCTTAGGACAGTGACACCACGTAGGTTCCAAAGAAGCTGTTGAATACAGTGGCTGCCCATCAGCCAAAAGATAATAAATAATAAGCTAAGATGAATAGAAATAAGTCACCTTTGAAGATCTTTACATAAAAAAGGAGTTTGAAATGTCACATTAGAAGGAACAGGTATCAGAATTGAGTCTGATCTTCAGGAGCTCATTTGAGATACTAAACAATTAGTTCAACCACCGTGTGTTGAGGCCCCGCTACTGCTGGGGCTGGTCTGGGGCCATAAAGCAGGGCTGCCCTGCTTGAGTGAGGTGGAGGGGAACAAGGAAACAGGTGTGATCTTTGCCATTGTGAAAGAAAAATAAAATCTCAGGACCCCAAACTCACTATGCTGAAAGGAAAAGTTAAGCTTGGAAACTGAGTCTCACACACACACAACTGCCTTTCCTTTTGTTCCTAAATAGATATCTCCCCAGGTGGCCCCCAGCACCCTGTGCATGTATATTAACAACTTATCTTCATGGGCGCAGGACAAGGGAAGACTAGAAATCATCCCCCTGCCCACACCTAGAGGAATACATCTTTGACTTCTGCCTCTCCTTTATGTTTACTTATCTTATGTAAAAGGCAGATTCACTGAGCACCAGATGAATACATCATTGACTATTCTTCTACCCCCTTCTTTTCATGTGCAAAAGAATGTAATCACTTGTCTCATTTATCTACCCTCCCTTTTTTTTTTTCTTTCCTCCCTTCCCTCCTGCTCCTTTGAATATTGAAGCACTCAAAATTCGCTCTGGAAAAAGTGCACAGATTTTACTGTGGCTTGTGTCTCTATTTCCCGAGCATGTCCTCATCCTTGGCAAAATAAACCTCTAAATAGATTGAGACCCGTCTCACTCATCATAGAGGGAAGCACAGGGGCACTGGATTCACAAGGAAGGGGTCAGAAATAAACTCCTGGAAAAATAACACATTTTTAAAAAAGTCCTTCCCACATTCATCCATTTATTAAACAGTCATCCTTTACTCACGTATAATGTGCCAGGCACCAGGTTTGGGTCTGGAAAGAGAAAGATAAGGCATAGCCGCTGCCCAAGAGCCTTAAGGTTTGGTTGAAATCACATAAATCACAAATGCACAGACTGTTAGAGATATGCTAGACGCATGCCTCGGATGGGAGAGGACCCTGGAGTGAGAAGTTTTATTGTAGGAAAACACCAGATCCCCAGTGAGACAGTCTCCAGGCAACTTGAATTCACCAGCAACAGGGCCCAGGCAGTGAGAAGAGAGAAACAATTGGTTTTGCCACCTCTTTCAGTGCCACTGGGTAGCCTGGCGTCTTCACTATAAACCCCACTCACCAGGAGAAGCAGGGCAGCTTACCCAAGCACAAGCAACTGAAAGACCAGTTTACCAAAAAACAATTTGTCATCAATTCATCAAATTTAACATGTTATTTAAAAAAAAACTTTGCTTATCTTATTTATAAACATATAGTGACTTGTCTCCAATGGAACAGTTTTAGTAGTTTTGGAGAATTTCTACAGTTTTCATTGACGAGGTTTTATTTTGTCTTTGTAGCAGCATTTAAAGAAGTCTTTAAGTGTTTTCAAAACGTATTCAAAATTCAAAAATCATCCCATAACCAAAAAATCAGTGTTTGTTTCCTACAAGAAATTTTCAGTTTATACTGATTTCTTTCATGTCTTTTTGGTTTTGCCAACATTTTAGCATACCTCTTATTATTCTGCCAATTTCTCAAATTGGGGCACTATATTCTAGGAATTTCCTTTATCAATCTAACTTTTCTAACAACTTAATTCATATTTACTTGTGATGTTGTTGATCCTGTAGCTTCCAGTTTATCAGTTTACCAGTCTTTTCAGTATTTTTAGGATTTTTTAAGCCATTAAAACAAAACCCTTTTATGACAGTTTTGGATTTACACTTGGTGAATATCAAACTTGAGGCATTGGTCATGAAAATAATTATAATACAATCTTCTGGGCACCCTTACTTCCTTTTTGCTTCCTTGGCTTGTTTTATCTCAAATTTGTTCTTGTGAGAAATTTTAAATGTCCATAATTTCTTACAGAATAGTTTGGAGATATAACTAATTTTTTCAGGTGGTTTTGAGTTCAAATTTTAAACTTTAATTTAAAAACATCTCATTTGCTGTTGCTTACCTGAAAATACGCAGTTGAAATTTCATCCTTTTATCTTAAGCCTTTACTATTTTAATCTAATTTGACTTAATACAATTTAATTTAAAGTTTTAATTGCTAGAAGCTTAAAATTAAGACTGATAAACCATTTAAGAAATTTGCAAAATGATACTAAGGATTGAAAAATAGGAAAATGACATTTGAATCATTAAATGAAACAAGTTGAATATTATTTAGTAAAAATTTAAAGTTAAATAAATTGGTCATTAAGAAACTGAAATGCAGGCTGGGCACAGTGGCTCACGCCGGTAATCCCAGCATTTTGGGAGGCCAAAGTGGGCAGATCTCCTGAGGTCAGGAGTTTGAGACCAGCCTGACCAACATGGAGAAACCCTGTCTCTACTAAAAATACAAAATTAGCCAGGTGTGGTGGCACATGCCTGTAATCCCAGCTACTCAGTTAGGATGAAGCAGGAGAATCGCTTGAACTGGGGTGCAGAGGTTGCGGTGAGCCAAGATTGTGCCACTGCATTCTAGCCTGGGCAACAACAGTGAAACTCTGTCTCAAAAAAAAAAAAAAAAAGAAGAAAAGAAACGAAAAGAAAAGAAACTGAAATGCAGTTAATTGATCTCAAATCATTCTGTATGTTTTGAAGATGCCATTTTGCTCTTAATCTATAGTCAGCTCTTTCTCTTGCTCTTCTGCTAGTGATTAAAGGGTATGTTGTTTTTAGAAATAATTCTGTAAAATTCAATTAAATCCTTATATTCTATTAAAAAAATTCAGAGTGTGTTTTGTGGTAGTCTTCCCAAATACAAAAATGTCTAAGTCCTAATCCCTGGAACCTATGAATGTTGCCTTATATGTCAAATGGGTCTTTATATATATGATTAAAGTAAAGACCTCGAGATGGGGAGGTTATCTTGGATTATCCAGATGGACCCAATGTCATCACCAGGTCCTTTTAAGAGGGACCCAGAAGGGTCAGAGTCAAAGAAGATGTAACCATGGAAGTAGAGATTGGAGTGGTGCTCTTTGAAGATGAAGAAGGAGACCACAAGCTAAGGAATACAGGCTGCCACCAGCAATTGGAAGAGTCAAAGTAATGGATTATGCCCTCAGGCCTCTAGAAGGAACCACCAGTCTTGATCACCCCTTGACTTTAGCCCAGTGAAGCAGACAGAGGACTTCTGACTTCTAGAACTGTAAGAGAATAAATTTGTGTAGTTTTAAGCCACAAAGTTTGTGGTAATTTGTTACAGCAGCAACAGAAAATGAATACAGGGTGTTATTGACACATCCTCTCATCTGGTTCTTCATCCTTTCCATGCACAGGGTTTTACAGCCAGGCCTGTGGTCTACCAAGAATGTTGTTCTTCTCAGAGAAGACTAGAAAAGCTCTGCCCAGACATCGGAGACCATTTCCATCAATCTCTTTCCTGGCTGCCATATGTCCACCTGGAACCAATGAGAGAGACAACTGTACAGAGACTTTTTGTTTTTCATTTTAGTGTTGTTCTAAGAAGTTACCAAAATACATCATGAAATTATCGCAATTAAGTTTACCCAAAAGCTACAATGTACACTATTTTCAGCCCATCTATTCCCATCTCCAGCCATGCCTGGCTACATTTTCCTGTAAAGCTCAACAGCTAGAATGTGCATCAGATAATAGTGCTAAATGGTTCAAATAGAATATGGCCAGGGTTACAAAAAGCATCCACTTTGCCTGCATACACCCCTGCAAAATTCAGCTCCACAGATTTTTCCTCTTTTGTTACCACTCCAGCAATCCCATGAGACAGGCAGAAGTTGTCTAGCCCCAGAGGACCCATGAGATTACATGACATCTCCAAGATCTTAGCAAGAGTAAAATCTAAGTCAAGGACTCACATTCCTGATTAGTTGAGGACTCCAGCTTTGCACCTGTGGCTTGGAGCAGGCATGCACACACAGGCGGAATAGGTAATTTTAGCAGTGCTGCTACCAGAAGAAATTCAACATCCCCTGCTGGATCTAGCCTGCAGTGCCCTGGTTAGAACTTGATCCTCACAGCTAAGGCTTGAGTCCTTGTAATGCAAATACCCAGGGCATCCATGCTCCCTCCGATCCCAGCACCTACACCTTGTAGTCAGGAAGCCAGTTATTTCAGGACTCGGACGAATGCTGCACCTGATCCTCCTCAGGCTTCTGAGAAAGTCCTCGGTTCCCAGTAATGACTGCCGTCCTCTCAGCCAGGCGATACCTGGTTCTCATCCAAGAATTGGCCACTGCACTGGAGATAAATTGTTTGGGGATGACTTAAAGTTTGAGGATTGGGAGGAGACGTTGTGTTTGAATCCTGCCTAGAAGGAACTTTCCAGAGACAAGATGCTGGAGAATCACAAGACCTGAGTCTCACTGGCATTTCCAACTGCCCCAATGTGATTTCTAAATTGCGAGAACTCTGGGTCTTGCTTTCCTGAAGACCTAGGAAGAGTTTCTCATACTGACCCAACCAAGCTGTGATGTTATTAGCATTTTCTACCCACTGTGTCAGATAACTACACCAAGACCAGCAAGGAGCCATTGGCTTCAGAATGTGAGCCTATGCAGCAGCAGAAGGGTGTAAGACCTTCAGAGAGTCCCTTGAGGATAGAGGGTACTTGGAAAGACAGCAGAAGGGGAAGAGAAGGAAAGACCCCTTCCTTGGGCATTGCTTCCACCTGAGTAGAAATCAGGCAAGGAAAATCCTCACCAGAGGGAGAGTATATAAAACAAAAAGTTGGAGAAAAATCTCAGCATTCTGAAAGGAGCACTCTATAAGAATTTTAAATGTAGATCCTCAACTAAAAGCATCAAAATTTGGGAAGGTGAATAAATCGTATGTGTGTAATGAGTGTGGAAAGTCATTCCAGAAAAAAAAAAAAACACACCATAAAATGCATATGAAAATACATACCTACTTGAGTTATGAGGGTGGGAAAGCTTTATTTATTTATTTATTTTTTGGAGAGGGGGATGGAGTCTCACTCTGTTGCCCAGTCTGGAGCACAGTGGCACCATCTCTGCTCACTGCAACCTCCGCTTCCTGGGTTCAAGCGATTCTCGTGCCTCAGCCTCCTCAAGCAGCTAGGACTACAGGCATGTGCCACCATGCCCAACTAATTTTTATATTTTTAGTAGTGACAGAGTTTCGCCACGTTGGCCAGGCTGGTCTTGAACTTTTGACCTCAAGTGATCTGCCCGCCTCAGCCTCTCCAAATGCTGGGATTACACTGTGCCCGACCAGGGTGGGAAAGCTTTTATAAGAGCTCAGTTCTCACCTTTAAAAAATATAAACTGGGGGTGACCATTTAAATGTAATCACTATGGAAAACCCTTTGGGCAGAACCCTGACCTTATTGAACATTAGAGAATTCTTACCACGGAGAAACCATATAAATATGTGAATGGGAAAAACAGTTAACTACGAGTCACACCTTATTTAACATGAGGAACTTGATGGTGGAGAGAGCTTATTCTTGTAAAGAGGGTGCAGTCCTACCAACCTTAGATAGGTCACAGGCAAATCCACATGTGCTCTGGGACATAAAATTATGCATTACTATATATTGTAGCAGACACCACAAAATCAAACCTCTAGAAATACAGTCATTGTGGGAAATCCTTTTTTTGGGAGTTCAAATTTTACTACATATCAGATTATATTAAGGTGACGGTCATTGTGAGAAAATTTCTTTTTAAGGATACTTGCATATGGCTTACACGGGAGATAGACAGATGATAGATGACAGATAGATAGATAGATAGATAGATAGATAGATAGATAGATAGATAGATATAGATATAGATTTTTTATTTTTTGAGACAGGGTCTGACTCTGTCACCCAGGTTGGAGTGCAGTGGTGTGATCTCTGCTCACTGCAGCTTCCTCCTCCTGGGCTGAAGCAATCCTCCTGCCTCAGCCTCCCAAGTAGCTAGGACTACAGGCGTAAGCCACCTTGCCCGGCTAACTTTTTTTTTTGTAGAACAGGGTTTCACCATGTTGGCCAGGCTGGTCTCAAACTCCTGAGCTCAAGTGATCCTCCTGCCTTGGTGTCCCAAAGTGCTGGGATTACAGGCGTGAGCCACCACACAGCCAGGAGACAGATCTTATAATAAAATATGCAGATGTTAAAAGACACACTTAGGTACAATAAAACTTTAATGAGTTTATTTGAGCATTCAGTGATTCGTAATTCAGTCAGCACCAGACAGGAAGCAGTTTGACATTTCACCTAGGGGGCAAGAGGGGAAACTTTTATGAGGTGTAGTGGAAAGTCCTAGTTAGAGGTTAGTTGGTGGATTTTCTGATTCGTTAAGCTTAAGTTTCCTTTTAGTTTTACATTAAGTTTGGGCTAAGGTTTTCTTAAGTAAGAACCTGAGGTACTGAGGCTATCTCAGACTAATGGCCTCCCAGTTAATTTATTTAACATGGGAAAGAGAGAGCAAGAAGGAAAGAATAGGAAGGAAGGAAAGAAGGAAGGAAGGAAGTGGGGAAGGAAAGAAAGAAGGAAGGGATGGAGAGAAAACCTTTGGGTAAAATAAAGCTCAAAGGTTTTTTTTAGTCCGAAGATCCCACAAGCAAATTCTGACAAGGAAAAACATCAGAATTCATGGGCATGGGAGCGTTGCAGGAGGAAGAAGGATGAGAAGCAGGGATGCTGGGTCATCCCCTCTCACATTTAGGGGTCTCTGAAAGAGAGGCAACTGCAGACCAGGCCAGCACTGAGCCAATAACCAACTCCCTGCTGTGAGCCTTGCCAATGTGTTGCCCCTGTGGCCGCCACTCCCCACCTCACATACCCACACACTGGCAGTGGGTGCTTCCCAGCAAAAGCACAGGGGGCCCAGAAGTCAGCCATGACAACATCGCCTTGTTCTAACTAGACTCGAGGGCTGAAGCCAGTGACGTTCAAGGGATGTGGGTTTTCTGAGGTCTGGCGAGGAACCCTGGCAGTGTCTGTCTCTGTCACCGTGTTTGGAAGAAGGCTAATTGTTCATCCCAGGCCAGTGTCCAGCGAAGCTGGATCAGTTTCCTCTCCTTCCACTCCCATCTACATGCTAGGAGGGGCTGGGTGCATTGTGACCAGCCAGGGCACGGATTTGGCCCTCCCTGCAGAGCCTGCTTCTGTTCCTTCTCCCTTTCCATCTCCCAGAGTTCTCACCTACCTCCCACCCACCTCCTTGAGATCCGGTTCTCTAATAAAGCTAGTCGGATGAATAAGCCAAGGCTCACAGAGGGCTATTTTGGCAAGCATACACCTATGCTTAGGAGGATCCCCCAACAAATCACTAAAATAGTCAGACCTCAACTGGGCTAGAATGCCAGGAGGGTCCAATCAGAACTCCTAGCTCTGCTACACATAAGAAGAGTTAGATGAGTTTTCTCCAATACTCAGACGCCTCATCTGTTAAACAGGCATAGCAATGCCTTCCTCCCAGGGTTTTATGAGAACCAGGAAAGATAGTGTCATCGTGCTTTAGTTCAGTGTGTGGCACAAAAGGAGGGCACTTCAAAGCAGTAGTGGAGGCTGGGTGCGGTGGCTCAAGCCTGTAATCCCAGCACTTTGGGAGGAAGAGGTGGTCGGATCACCTGAGGTCAGGAGTTCGAAACCAGACCGGCCAATATGGCAAAACCCCATCTCTACTAAAAATACAAAAATGTATCAAGTGTGGTGGCACGTGCCTGTAATCCCAGTTACTCGGGAGGCTGAGACAGGAGAATTGCTTGAACCAGGAGGCGGAGGTTGCAGTGAGCCAAGATCACACCACTGCACTCCAGCCTGGGCAACAGAGCAAGACCCCATCTCAAAAAAAAAGAGCAGTAGTGAGCCGAACAAAGACATACAAATGTGTAGTTTAAAACTATATTTATAATAATAGAATCAGCAACACCAATGAAGTATACAGCATTACTAATATTGTCCTCAAGTAGAAATTTTAGTCACTGAGGTAGAGGAAGTAGAAAACTTATTTTAGAGCCTGTGGCACTTGGTCCCCAGCTGTGAGTAAAACCTATCCTATTTCAAACTATCATATGTCTTTGGGTCTCTAAATAGTCCCCAAAGTGAAGAACATGCAGTGTAGTGTTTCCTAAAAGAAAGGTACTACATTGTCCATATCGTTTTTTTCAAAAATCAATTTGCCTAGGCCCTCGTTGACTTGTCAATTTGTTATTTTGCCAGCAGAATATATAATTTCTTTTTATAACCTGACCTTATTTTGCAGTACTGTCCTAAGGAAATGTGAAAATACTCATCGTACAAAAGAAAGAGAAATAGCCATCCAGGGCAAGATAAGAAAGAGCAGAGGGACTCAAGTCAGGGCAAAGCAATGAGACTGAAAGAGGAGGGAGGAGAGGGTAAGGAAATGAACAAGCAAATACTCTGGAAGCCAGCCAAGTCCCAGATGCGAACTCCTGGTGAGTCTGTCAATCCACAGATTGTGCCGTTTCATTTGCATTTCTATTTCTTCTTAAGGCAATGATGTATATTTCATTTCATCTTTTATTTTGTTTATGATTTAATTATGAGAAGATAAGGAATCTAGGCACGAAGGAAGTTATTCTTTCCCCCCAAGTGCTACATCTGTTAGAGGTTGGATATAAGTGAATTAATTGCCAAAAATATCTGAGGGGGAAGCCACGTTTGCTCTTCAGTTTCATTACCAGGGATTGCCAGAGCTTCATTCCAACATCCCATCCTTGTTATTGAAAAACAAGTACTTACCAGTAAAGGGTGCCAACACTTAAACAATGAAGAGATGGTTTAATCAGACAGGATTCTTCTTCTACTCCCAAATATCATTGCTTCCACAATGTAGGAGTCTACTTATGAGTGTTCAAGTCACGCACACACACACGCATGTGCACACATCCACAAATATACTGTACTGGCTCAGTAAACATTTACTCCACTGCTGTTGAATTATTAAATATTGAATAAATACACAGGTAATTTAGTACTTTTGATGAAAAGGCAATTTATCCAACAAATATATTTTGTTAAGCTCTCTCTGGTTTAACGTAATGGTGGAATTCCCTAGGAACATAGGAATTTTTCTTGCTTTCAAGAAAATTCCAGGGGCAGCTCATCAGAAACAACCACAATAAAAGTGTGACAGGTCAAAAAGTATTAGTATGTGCACTGGTACTAACTGGATTGTGTGCTGCTTTTGTTTCCCCTTTTACAGTCAAAGAGAATTTTCCAAGAACCAGCCCCACCACCTCCCTACCTACCTTTGCCACCTTTTTCCTTTCTCAGGAAAATTCTCTCTTCCCCGGTTACTTGAACTTTTGTAACACCAACTGAGGGGAAGGGTGAGGGGAGGAGAAAGACTGAAGAGGCAGGGGACCAAGGGGAGGACGTGGGCCTAGAGTCTGAGTGAATCACATCCCGAGGTGAGTGTAGGTTGTAGAGGAAGAGATGGGGAAAAAGAGGGGATTTTCCTCTGAGATGCCACATGATGTTCATTTCACCCTGTAGTCTCACCGTGCCCCTCCATAGAGTTAAAAGCCAACCTCATGCTAGGAATTCCTAGCATTTTTAACTCAGGCTTTGACTATACTCCAGAGCTCCAGATCCACTTGGACTTTGTTTAAGAAACATCTCAAATTTACCTTGTCCAAAACAAAGCATTTGTTTAGCACCCCTTAAAAACGTGTTTCTCGGCAGGGCGCAGTGGCTCACGCCTGTAATCCCAGCACCTTGGGAGGCCGAGGCGGGTGGATCACAAGGTCAGGAAATCGAGACCATCCTGACTAACACGGTGAAACCCCGTCTCTACTAAAACTACAAAAAAATAGCTAGGGGTGGTGGTGGGCGCCTGTAGTCCCAGCTACTCAGGAAGCTGAGGCAGGAGAATGGCGTGAACCCGGGAGGCGGAGCTTGTAGTGAGCCGAGATCAAGCCACTGCACTCCAGTCTGGGCTACAGAGTGAGACTCTGTCTCAAAAAAAAACACAAAGACCTGAAGAGTCATCCTTGATTTTTCTCTCTACACTTGTAATAACTCCTTCAGTGAGTGCTGTCAGTGTACCTCCAAATACAGTCGAAATGACCCCGGGGAGTGGGGGTGGGAATTCTATATCAGGAGTATCAAAGTGTGGAACTTAGTAAAGTCCAAATCTGGTAGGCCTCACTCTAGTCTTTCTTCTTAATTTTTTTTAAATCAATACATTGTAACTGTACATAGTTATGGGATACAATTTGATATTTCCATACATCTATGTTGTATAATGATCAAATTGGCATTTAGCATATCCATTACCTTGTGAATTTATCCTTTCTTAGTGGTAAGGACATCCAAAAGTGTCTCTTCTAGCTATTTTGTAATATACAATAATTTACTCTTAACCATAGTCATCTGAATGTGCAACAGAACTTATCCCTCCTCTCTAATTGTAACTTTGTGCGAGTTAACCAACTTCTTCCTATCCTCCCTGCTCCAGTCTTTCTCACCACCCTGGTGGCACTGCTGCAGGGCCAAGGTCATTGCCTGTCTGGACCCCATGTCTAGCAGTCTTCTGAATTAAATGCCTATCCTCCCTTGCCCTTGGTCCACAACTTTATCTTCACAAATATACTATTGAGCAAAAGAGTCCAGACACAAAAGAGGACATATTATATGACTCTATTCATGTAAATTTCAAAAACAGGCAAAGCTACTACCATTGTCGGGTGGTGATGGTGATAATGGGGGGTGGGGAGCAATTGAAAGGAGTTTCAAGGAGTTCCAGTGGCTGGTCATGTTCTGTTTCTTGATCAGACAGTGAAACACAAATGTGTTCACTTCATGAAAATTCACAAGCTATACATTTATGAGTTGTGCTCATTTCTGATTGCATGTCATACTTCAATAAAAAATTTACTTAAAATTTGAAAAAAATTAAGTAATTATTTCAGGCTGAAAATGTTTGTAAACCATTAAGAACATCAAAGTGTCTGCATTTTGAAAATATGTGATTTTATTCTTGGTGCCCATGGAGATTCAAAATGTACCTCTTTTAACAACAAATGAATTTTTCTCCTATAGTACAAAATCACTCTTTTTTTTTTTTAAAAGAAGTCTCGCTCTTGTCTCCCAGGCTGGAGTGCAATGATGCCATCTCAGCTCACTGCAACCTCTGCCTCCCGGGTTCAAGCAATTCTCCTGCCTCAGTCTCTTGAGTAGCTGGGATTGCAGCTGCCTGCCACCATGCCTGGCTAATTGTTTTTTTAGTAGAGATGGGGTTTCACCACATTGGCCAGGCTGGTCTCAAACTCCTGACCTCAGATGATTCACCTGTCTCGGCCTCCCAAAGTGCTGGGATTACAGGCATGAGCCACTGCTCCCAGCCCAATGACTCGTTTTTAATTCAACTAAAATAAAACTAGGAATCAATCACTGTTGAGTAATGGGGATTTGTAAAAACATCTGAAATATGAAAAATGTTACCAAAACTTGGGTAGAGACTGGGGTAGCTGTCAGGACACTTGTGACAGAAGCCAGCACTTGGCCTAGCCTTTCAGAATTACTGTGGGACTTTCACTGAATCAGACTTCCCTTCTTTCTTAAAAGACCCATATGGGGCAACTGTATCTCACCATACATCTTCTTCTCTCTTTTTTTTTCTAGCTAAAATGGAAAGGATGGAACCCGAGATATCTTTGTCTTTGTCTTCCTTGTCTTCCTTGTTGACATTCTTTGTCTTCCTTGTTGACAGCTCCTGCAGGCATCCCCAAACTGATTTGCTGAAGGTGAGAATCTGCCCCCTGAATCACAAAGGGTGGCTGTGCTGCTCACTTAGTCTGTTTTGTGTTGCTGTAACAGGATATCTGAGACCCAGTAATTTACAAAGAAAAGGGGTTCATTTAGCTCATGGTTCTGCAGGCTGGGAAGTACAAGAAGCATAGCATTAGCATCTGCTCTGGTGAGAGCCACATGGTAGGTCCAAACATGGTAGAGAAGGTCAAAGGGGAATTATGAAAAGTCAGAGCCCAATGGCATCTTGGCTTTACCACAACCTATTCTCAAGGGAAGAAATCCATTCTCAGCAATGAACCTAGTCTGGCCAGACAAAGAATTTACTAACTAACAAAAGGGTACCAAGCCATGCATGAGGGCTCTGCCTCCATGACCAAGTACTTCCCACAGGCTTACTTCCCAACCCCGCAAGACAAGGACCAAATTTCAACATGAGTTTTGCTGGGAACAAACAAATCCTACCCAAACCATAGCAGCTGCCAATGACAAAATGAAACCAAGTTTCATAGGGCCCTCTCTGCTCCACATGTAGGCAACTCTGCAGGCATTTGGAGCACCTGTTAGCATGGACTAGAAGTCTAATTGGCCCTTTCTTCCTGTGCAGAGATCCTGGTGCAGGTGGCTCTCCCTGCTTCACCCCTAGGCATATCTTCAGGCATTTGGAGCACCTGCTCTCTTGGTTCAGCAGCCTGAGCCACCCCCACCCTTCCTGTGCATAGACTGTGGTACAGTAGGGCCCCCTCCACTGCAAGCAGATCTCCAGACATTCAAATCACCTTCTTGCTTGGTTCAGCAGCTGAAGTCACCCCACCCCTCCTGTACAGAGATCTTGGTGCAGGGGACTTTTTCTCTGCTTCATGGCCAGGGAGATCTTCAGGACCCTGGAGCACCACTCTCCTGGATTAGGAGTTTAGGCTGACACCCATCCCCATCCAGAGAACTTGGGGCTGAGGAGGTTTCCTAGCTCCATGCCTAGGCACACCTCTAGAAACTTGGTGGCAGCCCACTGGATTCTCCTTTGGCACTGGTGCTTATGCTTGCCATCAGGGGACGTGTAACTGGGCCTTCCAAGTTCGGCTCCACCCATCTTGCCCCACCCCTCCATTCCCTGGAGCTGAGAAGAGAGCTCAGACCACTGTGCATTCCATAAATGAGCCCATTGCCTGAGGCAACAAAGAGCTCCTCTCAGTAAACAAGGATCGGGTATATACCCAGCCATGTTGGCCACAACCAGCTCTTACACATAAGTGACATCTACTGGCTTGTCTGTTTAACTGCACAGCCCCGTGTAATATCTAGAGAGTGTAGGAAGAGGGGAAGGGAAAGAAAAAGAAGAAAAGGCAATAATTTTATAGGGAAAGAAATAAAAACAAAAATCCTACCCACACAAAAATAATTACAAAAATTAGAAGTGCCAGCACTTCCAGATGAGAAGGAATCAGAGCAAGAATTCTGGAACCATGAAAAATCTGAATGTGACAACATCAAAAGATCACAGTAGCTCTCCAGCAATGGTCCCTAACCCAGATGGAAACCCAGAAATTACAGATAAAGAATTCAAAGCATGAATTGCAAGGAAGCTCAATAAGATCCAAGACAAGGTTGAAAATCAACACAGGCCAGGTGCAGTGGCTCATGCCTGTAATCCCAAGACTTTGAGAGGCCAAGGCAGCAGGATCACTTGAGGTCAGGAGTTCAAGACCAGTCTGGCCAACATGGTGAAACCCTGTTTCTACTAAAAATACAAAAAATTAGCTGGGTGTGGTGGCGCACGTGTGTAGTCCCAGCTACTTGGGAGGCTGTGGCAGGAGAATCACTTGAGCTGGGAAGCGGAGGTACCAGTGAGCCAAGATCACACCACTGTACTCCAGCCTGGGTGACAAAGAAAGACTCCATCTAAAAAAAAAAAAAAAAAAATCAGCACAAGGAAACTTCTAAAGTAATCTGGGAAATGAAAGAAGAGATAAAACATCCTAAAAATAAATCAGTCAGAGCTTCTGGAATTGAAAAACTCACTTAGGGAATTTCAAAATACAACTGAAAGTTTTATCAATAGACTGCACCAAGCAGAAGAAAGAATTTCAGAGTTTGAAGACTGGTCTTTTGAACTAACCCACTTACACAAAAATTTTGTTAAAAAGAATTTTTTAAAGATAGTCTTTGAGAAATATAGAATTATGTCAAGTGACCAAACCTATGCATTGTTGGCATTCCTGAGAGACAAGAGAAAAAGTAAACAACCTGGAAAACATATTTGAGGAAATAATTCAAGAAAATTTTCCTAATCTTGCTAGAGAGGTAGACATCTGGATATAAGAAATCCAGAGAACATCTGTGACAAACTATTCAAAATGAACATAACAAAGAAATTAAGTCACTACACTGTCCAAGGTCAATATTAAAGAAAAAAAAATGTTAAAGGCAGCTAAAGACAGAGATCAGATCACATACAAAGGGAACCCTATCATGCTAACAGCAGACTTCTCAGTATAAACCTTACCAACCAAGATAGGCTGGTGGCCTATTTTCAGCATTCTAAAAGACAAGAAATTGTATTTCGCAGAGAAATACAAAAGACTCTCAGAGACTATTATGAACACCTCTGTGCACACAAACTAGAAAATTTAGAGGAAATGGATTAATTTCTGGAAACACACAAGGCCCCAAGATTGAATCAGGAAGAAGTTGAAACACTGGACAGATCAATGTGAAGTTCCAAAATTGAATCAGTCACAAAAAAAGCCCCAGACCAGATGGATTCACAGTTGGGTGAATTCTGCCAGATGTACAAAGAAGAGGTGGTACCAATTCTACTGAAACTATTCCAAGAAAACAAGGAGGAGGATGCCTCCCTAACTCATTCTGTGAAGCCGTCATCACCCTGATACCAAAACCTGGCAAAGACACAATGAAAAAAAGAAAACTACAGGCCAATGTCCCTGATGAACATAGACAAAAATAACTTTAACCAAATCCAACAAAACCAAATCTAACAGCACATCAAAAAACTAATTCACAATGATCAAGTAGGCTTCATTCGTGGGATGCAAGGTTGGTTCAGCTGTGCAAATCAATAAATGTGATTCACCATATAAACAGAATTAAAAACAAAAGCCGTATGATCATCTCAATAGACATGGAGAAAGCTTTTGATAAAAGCTAACATCCTTTAATCGTAAAAGCCCTTAACAAACTAGGCATTGAAGGAACATGCCTCAAAATAATAAGAGCCATCTATCACAAACCCACAGTCAATATCATACTGAATGGGAAAAAACTGGAAGCATTTCCCTTGAGAAAAAGAACATGACAAAGATGCCTACTCTCCTCACTGCTATTCAAAATAGCACCAGAAGTGCTAGCCAGAACAATCAGGTAAGATAAAAAAAAAAAAGACATCCAAATAGTAAAAGAAGAAGTCAAGCTATCTCTCTTTGCTGATGATATGATTCTACACCTAGAAAACCCTAAAGATTCTGCCAAAAGGGCTCTGGAACTTATAAACAACTTCAGTAAAGTTTCAGGATACAAAATCAATGTACAAAATTGGTAGCATTTCTATACACCAATAATATTCAAACTGAGAGACAAATTGAGAATGTAATTTCATTTACAGTAGCCAAAAAAAAAACCCTAAAATACCTAGGAATACATCTAACCAAAGAAGTGAAAGAGTTCTACAAGGAGAAGTACAAAATGCTACTAAAATAAATCATAGTTGACACAAACAAATGAGAAACATTTCTTACTCATTCCTTGCTCGTGGCTATTAAAGTAGCCACACTGCCCAAAGCAATCTACAGATTCAATGCTATTTCTATCAAACTACCAAGGTCATTACTCACAGAAGTAGAAAAAAGCTGTTCTAAAATTCATATGGAATCCCCAAAAAGCCTGACTGGCCAAAGCAAAGCAAAACTAATAAAGCCAGAGATATCATATTACCTGATTTCAAACTATACTACAAGGTTAGGCAACAGTAACTAAAACAGCATGGTATTGGTACAAAAACAGATGCATAAATCAATGAAAAAGATTAGGGAACTCAGAAATAAAGCCACCATCTACAGCCATCTGTTCTTTGACAAAGCTGACAAAAATAAGCAACGGGTAAAAGACTTCCTATTCAGTAAATGGTGCTTGGATAGCTGGCTAGCCATATGCAGAAGAATGAAACTGGACTCCTACCTCTCACCATATACAAAAATTAACTCAAGATTGATTAAAGATTTAAATATAAGACTTCAAACTATAAGGATTCTAGAAAAAGACCTAGGAAATATCATTCTGAACATTGGCCTTGGAAAGAATTTATGACTATGTCCTCAAAACCAATTGCAACAAAAACAAAAATTGACAAGTGGAACCCAATTAAACTAAAGACCTTCTGCAGAGCAAAAGAAACTATCAACAGAGTAAACAGACAACCTACAGGATGGGAGAAAATATTTGCAAACTATGCATTTGACAAAGGTCTAATATCCAGAATCTATAAGGAACTTAAACAATTGAACAAACAAAAACCAAATAACCCCATTCAGAAAGACATGAACAGACACTTCTCAAAGGAAGACATACAAGTGGCCAACAAGCATGAAAAAATGGTCCACATCTGATATGGTTGGGCTTTGTGTCCCTACCCAAATCTCATCTTGAATTGTAATCCCTATAATCCCCACACGTCAAGGGAGAGAACACGTGGAGATAATTGAATCATGGGGGTGGTTTCCCCCATGCTGTTCTCGTGACAGTGAGTTCTCATGAAATCTGATGGCTTTATAAAGGGCTCCTCCCCCTTCACTCAGCACTTCTCCTTTCTACTGCCTTTTGAAGAAGATGCCTTGCTTCCCCTTTGCCTTCCATCATGATTGTAAGTTTCCTGGGGCATCCCCAGCCATGCTGAACTGTGAGTCAATTAAACCTCTTTCCTTTATAAATTACCCAGTCTTAGGCAGTTGTTTATAGCAGTATGAAAATGGACTGATACAACATCACTAATCATTAGATAAATGCGAATTAAAGCCATAATACGATACCATCTCACACCAGTCAGAGTGGCTGTTAGTAAAAAGTCAAAAACAACAAATGTCAGCGAGGCTGAGAAAATAAGGGAATGCTCACACTCTGTTGGTAGGAATGTAAATTAATTCAGCCACGGTGGAAAGCAGTTTGGTGGTCTTTCAAAGAACTTAAAAGTGAATTACCATTTGACCTAGCAATCCCATTATTGGGTATATCCCCAAAGAAAAATAAATCATTCTACCAAAAAGACACATGCATTCATATGTTCATCACAGCATTATTCACAATAGTAAAGACATGGAATCAACCTAGGTGCCCAGCAATGGTGTACTGGATAATAAAAATGTGGTACACATACACCATGGTATACTATACAGCCATAAAAAGACTGAATGTCCTTTGCAGCAACATAGACATAGCTGGAGGCCATTATCCTAAGCAAATTAACACAGGAATAAAAACAACAAATATCACAAATTCCCACAAGTGTGAGCTAAATAAGCATTGGGTACTCAGGGACGTAAATATGACAGCAATAGATACTGGGGACTACTAGAGTGAGGAGGAAGGGAGTGGGGCAAGGATTCAATAACTATTGGTACTATGCTCAGTACCTGTGTGACAGGATCAATCATACCCCAAACCTTAGCATTGTGCAATATACCCATGTAACAAATCTGCACATTTCCCCCTTGAATCTAAAATAAAAGTTGAAATTAATAAAAAAAAATGAAACCAGGTTTGCTGGCCCTGATGCTAGCAGGCACACTAAGCAGTTGACTTCAGGGTACAACTTGAAAAGGACAGAAGCAGTTGACTTCAGGGTACAATTAGAAAAGGCCCAATTTAAAGTGTCCACTACCATCCTGTCTCAGATATGGAAATCCCACCATGAGTTTTGTCAGACTCAGTCTTGGTCCTTGCCCACACAGCATCCCTCAAATCCCCAATCAGTACCCATCAGATCTCCATTCCTGGCAAATGTGGGACCTACCACCTGTCCCTGGAACCCACTGAGACCTGAGGCTGAGGCTGTGCTAGATCACCCAACCAGCAGCCTAGTGACACTTAGAACATCTACAGAGCAGAGAAATAAAGGAGGGAAAGAATTTATGCTTGATTCATTTGGAGCATTACTGTCAGGCATGGTTCTAGTTGCTAGAGACACAGCAGAGAATTTATACCCTTAGATTTTAATAAGGGAAGACAGACAATAAACAAAATTTAAAACACCTTATATGGTATGTAAGAAGGTGATAACACATAACAGGGAAGGAGATAAAGAACGTGGGTTAAGGGGAAGTTAGAACTTTCCCGATATATATTTTTTAAAGCTCTGATGAGGTCATCATGAGAACAAATAAGATTTTTGTTGGTCTTTCATACAGTTATTATAGAGCTTCATGTTGTTTATATTTTGAATTACACATGGCAGGTGTGGGAGAAATGTGGGCATTTAGAACTCCTAATTTTGTCCAGAACCCAGGCAGAGCATGAAGTGCACCAGCCTCAGTCTGGGCCCAGTGTGATTACTAATATAAGACTCAACCTTTGCATCCTGATTCTAATCATTGCCACCTGCCATCTCCATGCCCAGACACACCCCTCTACCTAGGCCCAGGGCTGATGAGGATTCATGGATGCCCTGATTCTAGAAGCCTGTTCTGATGACCTCTCTGAGTTCAGTGCTCCCTGAGGTTCCAATTCTTATAGCTGGGTTTCTGTCTTGGTAACTCTTCTTCAGCTCAGAGTCTGGTCTTCTCTTTAAAGGAAACCTGAGGCCAGAGCTGTGCCTTGTTTTTGACAGTATCCATCCCTGAGGACTAGACAATCCTCCTGAGTCCAGTCCAGAGTGGGGCACCTTGTGATACACAGTTGGACCCCTAGCTTGCCTGCCTGCTATTTCAGAGACATCCACTGACCACAGTCGATAGGACAAGCCATCTATCCCATGGCCCTCCAACTTCAAGTCTGGCTCAGAACTTGACATACCCTGAGAAACTGACCTTGTTCCTCAAAGTGCTTTGAAGCTAGCCTAGACCCCTGGCTTCTTCATGCCTATGAGAAAGTGATATTGTAGGCTCCAGCCCCTCCTCTCTGACACTGCCCAGCAATAACTGGCCCTTTCAAATGCACGTCTATACTATCATCCTTTCCTTCAGAATTCTTCTCTCTCTCTCTTTTCTTCTCTCTCCCCTTTCTTCCTTCCTTCCTTTCTTTCTCTTTCTTTCTTTCTTTTTTTCTTTCTTTTTCTTTCCTTCTTTCTTTTCTTTCTTTCCTTCTTTCACAGCTTTATTAAAGTAATTTCCATTCCATGACTTTATTTTTAGTAAATTTAGAGCTATGTATATATCACCACATGCCAGTGTTCAAACAATTTCATCACCCCAATACACCCCTCATGTCCATTTGTAGTCTAGTGCCATTCTCACCTCCAACCCCAGGCAACCACTGACTTACTTTCTGTCTTTATAGACTTCGCTTTTCTGGACATTTCATGTACATAGAATCATGCAATGTGTGGTATTTTACATCTGATGTCTTTCACTTAACATACTGTTTTGAAGATGTGTCTATGTCATAGCATGTATTGGGAGTTTTTCCTTTTTATTGAATGAACATACCATATTTTATTTATCCATTCACTTGTCGATGGACATTTGGGTAGTTTCTAGTTCTGAATAATACTGCTCCATGAACATTCATGGACAAGTCTTTGCATGGACATGTGTTTTCATTCCTTTTCAGTTTTTTTTTTTAGCACAAATCATATTTAAAGTGGGAACATAATTAATCAATAATGCTTTGACTTAAGTTACTACAGCTTAAGAACTGGAGGACTGTAAGAGAGGAGAAATACAGTGGCCGAAAGGTGGAAAAAGGAACATAGGAGTAAATTCATCTCCTCAAGGGGCAAAGAGAGGAAACAAAGGCAGTCACAGCCCCATCCATGTGTCTCTGCTCCCTGGTTTAGATGGGAGAAAAATAAAGCAGCCTCCAGGGAAATGTAGCTTCATGTAATTATCATGTTTGATGAAAAAAGTCAATCAATTGTTGAGGTGTTTTCAAATATGCAACTGTTCCACATGCATGGATGGAAGGTCCTGGTGCCATCCTTTGCTTCTCACTCTCCTTCACCTCCCCATTCCACTGCCATCACCCAAGTCCAGACCCATCATTCTTTTTTGCATGGACCACTGGCCTCCTTATCTGCTAACTGAATTTCTTCTCTTCTTTCTCCATGCACTTCCAGAGTACTCCTTCTTTAGGATAAATCTGACCATGCCACTCTTCTGATAAAACCGATCGAGGTTCCCCAAGACCCCAGCTTGTGTCATTGGTCTCATTTCTCACCAGCGGCTACTCTGCTCCTATTACCCGCTCCTTCATAGATTACCTTTATTGAGGTAATTCACATTCTATGATTTTTTTTTTTTTTTAGACGGAGTCTCGCCCTGTCGCCCAGGCTGGAGTGCAGTGGCGCCATCTCGGCTCACTGCAAGCTCCGCCTCCCAGGTTCATGCCGTTCTCCTGCCTCAGCCTCCCGAGTAGCTGGGACTACAGGTACCCACCACCACGCCCGGCTAATTTTATATATATATATATATATATATATATATATATATATATATATATATATATATATATATTTTTTTTTTTTTTTTTTTTTTTTTGGATTTTTAGTAGAGACTGGGTTTCAGCGTGTTAGCCAGGATGGTCTCGATTTCCTGACCTTGTGATCCGCACGCCTCGGCCTCCCAACGTGCTGGGATTACAGGCTTGAGCCACCACACCCGGCCACATTCTATGATTTTTTTAGGTAAATGTAGAGTTGTGCTGTTTTTAAGTAAATGTAGAGTTGTGCCCATATCACCACACGCCAGTGTGAGAACATTTTCATCACCCCATTTTCTTTTTTCTTTTTTTTTTTTTTTGAGGCGGAGTCTCGCTCTGTCCCCCAGGCTGGAGTGCAGTGGCGCGATCTCAGCTCAGCTCCGCATCCCGGGTTCACGCCATTCTCCTGCCTCAGCCTCCTGAGTAGCTGGGACTACAGGCGCCCGCCACCATGCCCGGCTAATTTTTTTTTTGGTATTTTTAGTAGAGACGGGGATTCCCCGTGTTAGCCAGGATGGTCTCGATCTCCTGACCTCGTGATCCGCCCTTCTCGGCCTCCCAAAGTGCTGGGATTACAGGTGTGAGCCACCGCGCCTGGCCCATCACCCCAATATTTCCATCACAGTATGTAGACACTCTGTGCCTCAGCCTTTTGGAAACACTTTGTCTCCCAAATATTCTGCTTTTTTCCCTTCCAGGCTTTCGAAACTGCCACTGCCTCTGCCTGATACATTTTCCTCCTTGACCCTCTTAACTCCTGCTCATCCTCATGTCTCACCTTAGACACCTCTTCTTTCTGGAGGCCTCCTCGAGCCCACAAAGAGTAGTAGCAGGGCCTCTCTTGGATGCCTCACAGAGTCATCTCACCTCAGGCATAATATTCATCACACGATGCCCTTCCCTGTTTACATGTCTGTCTTATCCTGTAGACCAGAAGTTTCCCAAAGACCAAATCAATGCCCTCTTCACCAGTGTCTCTGTAGCAGCCAGCACCGGGATCTGTACAGCACATATTTATTAACAACTGCCTCCAAGGCTCAAACCAAATGGCATATTATGTCCATAAGAGCAAGATTTGGAGAGGAAAGCTTGAGACAAAGACTTCAATTTCTTGTGTGTTCTTATTAATCAGATGTTATTTACACACACACACACACACACACCTGTGAAGAATGCAGGCAACTCCAGCATGGTGACTTTTTGGGCCACTGTGGATTGTGTGGGTTCTAGTGCTGGCTCCTCCATGCAAGAGCTGGGACACCCTGTGCAATTCCTTCAGTCTTTCTCCATCTGCCCAAAGAGCTGCCTATCTTGCAGGATTATTGGACAAATCTGGTAGTGAATATAGATTGTGGATCTTAAAAATGACGAACAACTATATAAACATAAGGAATTATCATATACTGCTTCTCCTCTGCTTTTCAAAGAAATCCCCTCGCAATCTTAGAGTTACACAACAATAACCTCATTGCTTAGAAAAAAAATTATAACAATAATTCCTTGCATTAGGATCATAGCAAATGTCTTCAAAGTACTTTCAGGTCCATTATCAAATTAGATCCTCATTAACGGGTAGGAAAAGTAGAAATTATTATCTCTATTTTATAAATAGTGAAACTGAGACCCAGAGAAAATGTGATTTACCCAGGGTCATGTAACTGTGACACAAAGCTTCAGGAAAGAGTCTTCAGGGCTTCAGTTTTCTAGTTGGGCTCCGCTTTTGCCATATTGGACTTCTCCTAAGGATTTCAACTCTGGAATGTTTCATCTTGCATGCCCTCAAATACCCACCCCCCAACACACACACACACACACACACACACACACACACACACACACACAGAGAGAGAGAGAGAGAGAGAGAGAGACATGCCCCAATCTCTAGGCAATCACACAATCTCAAGTTCACAGAAAATTCCATCCAAGAAAATACTTGCATCCAGAGAGAAACACAATACAGACTCCTCCGTGTGCACCCAAGCAGTTGGGCAAAGCATAACACTTAGTTCTATATAAAACTAAACCTCTCATTTCAGGAAGTAATGGAAAAAAAAAATCAACCAAAATTTCTGCATTGAGATAATAAAAATATCTTTTGTTATTCCTTAAAGGCAGATTGTAGATGTACTACATGTTAATTTGCTGTCAATTTATTCATTTTTTAAAATATAATCTCCTCCAGTCAAGGTGGATTTAATTCCATTTTCATCTTGTGTACTTCCTTTCAAGGCTTGGTAATTTCTTTTCTATTTTTATCCATTCCACTTTTGCTTCCTGTCAATTTTTATATCAAAATCTGCTTCAGTTCCATTTGGCAAGGTGCAGTAACAAAAATACTTCTCATGCTTTAATGTTTAAATTTGCCATTGCACTTTAATATGGTTCTCTGTTTGTGCCAATGGCGTAACGTCAGCTCTTTCACTTGGCACAGATCCTGGACTTGCAGAAGGCAGGAGTTCGATTTCTATAATGGTTCTTCATCACTATCTGAAATTATCCTTTTTCCTATTCATTTAGTGTGCATTGCACACCCACTATATGCTAGACACTGTGTGTGTGCAGCAGGAATGCAGCTTACATAGGAGATAAAATAAGACAGCAACTGAAAAAATGCTGGTATATGATGTCAGCACAGGTGTTCTGAGGAAGACCGTGCCCCTGCCATCATGCAGAGGAGGAGGGAAAAGAACTGGGACACATACCAGTCACTAGAGGCCATGAGATTTTTCTCTTATCTGAAAGAAGAATATAAACTCAATGTGTCACAGACTGAGGCCATTCTGCAGCCACTAGGCCATGCGACATTAAGCCATAGGACACAGGTATGATTGGCTAGAAGCCTGGTCCAAGAAAGGGCCCTGTGGGAGTGCAAGGGACACTACTTCACCACTGAGACCACAGCCATGGATACAGACTCATTTTACCAGCATTTTGAACCACCTGTCATGCCACAGGGAGTGTCAAGAGCTCAGGCTCTGGAATGAAACTACTTAGGTTCGACTCCTGGCACTGCTACTCATTACCCATGTGCCCTGTATGTAACTAGTTTCCTCACCTGTAAAGTAGGTCCTTAGGATAAATAATTGAGTTGGTCAATATGAGTAATGGTTAGAACAATCCCTGGCACATAGTGAGCACTCAAGGTATTTGTTATCGTTTCCTGGTTTTGTTTTTTCAGGAAGTGAAACCCACAGGTTCTGTGGCTCTGCAGTGCCCTCTCTAGGATGCTTTTGTGGATGTGCAGTGGCTCAAGGTGCAGCAGGTAGGACAGAGCTGGGCAATTTAGCTGGTGCCAAACACAAGTGCACCATCTTACAGCTGCCCCCCATCCCTATAATTGCCATATCACCCTTCCCAGTCACCAGGGCAGGCCATTTTCTTCTCACATTGGGAAGAGAAGCACAGAGCAGAGTAACTGCCTCATAGAAAACACACATGAGAGAGTCATGCTGTCAGGGTTGAGGTTTTAAAATAACTTGCTCAAAATCATATGTCAGGCAAAAGCCAGAAGAGGAATTTGGACCCAGATCTGTCCAGCCTCAAATGTCTTCCCTCCCCACATTTCATCACAGTTTGAGGTGATATATAGTGTATACATATACACATATATCCTCACACCCCAGGGTGGACTTCAAGTTCACTGTAATCACATTGCACCTGTATGTAATATGGGGGTGGGTGAGGAGTGTGCAGAAAATCATACAGTCTCTTTGGCCCCAGGTACAACTAGAAAAATATTAGCAAATATTTTATTAGTTTCTACTTCGTCACCCTCTCATATACCACACCTGCCTCTCTCAGGCTTATCTGTCTAAATGAACAAGTACATTCATTCATTCCTTCTCTAAATGATTTTTTAGTACCTACAATGTTTTAGACACTTCGGTGTATAGGATAGGCAAAACTGTCACGTTAGGAATTTACATTCTGTTGGTGTCGGGGTGGAAGGGAAAGGCAATAAACAGGTAAACACATTAACAGGTAAGTTAATTCCAGATTATGATGGGTGCTATTAAGAAGATAAAATAGGGCAATGGCATAGAGTCATTCTTCACTCAGCAACCAACGAGCCTCTAAATAGCACTGTACTTGCAACAAGATCCAAACTCCTTTCTGTGTCCTTCCAGGCCCTCCATGATCTGACCTCCCTCCAACTTCATGTCCTGCCATTTTATTTTCCTCCTTCAGTAGTGCCCAGTCATCCCAGCTTTCTTTTTGTTCCTCAAAATATAAAGTTCTGTTTCATCTCCAGGCTTCACACCTGTTGCTCTCCTTTTCTAGAACATTCTCCGCCCCCACACTCTTCCATGCCCCAGCTTTTTGAATGATTGATACATTCTCATTTTTTTCTGCCAAAATACCACCTCTTCAGAGAGTCTACAACCATACCATTCATTCTCTTTCCTTTATTTTGCTGTTCATCTTCTTTATAGCACTTACCATTACCTGGAAGTGTCTGATTTATTTACTTTTTTCTTTGTCTCCCTCTCCTGCTCATGCTTGCAGACTGTAAATCCACGAGCGCAGGAGGTCTGTTCCATTCACAGCTGTTTCCCCAGTGCCTAGAACAATGCCTGGCACATAGCAGGAGTTTGCTCATGAATGAATGAAAGCATATTCATGCACCACAGCCAAGAGACAATTCTGACAATCAGCAAATGGGACAGAGCTTCAAAAGACTGCCCTGCTAACACCAAAAATCTTCTACTTAATAAGCCCAGGAAGCAAAGACTGTGTGAGAATACAAAACACAAATAGCATACTTAGTCTTCAGACTCCAAGGGTTCCAAAATCGGTAATAATTTGGAAAGCAGCTACATAGGGCTTAGAAAGGGATGTTCGTAAACTGCCCTTCCATCCTTGAGACCATCAAAAGAAATGGTATTCTGGACACCCTCCTAACCATTGTTATGGATGTCAAAATAAACACAAAACAAAATATAAAGCCAGGGATTGCTTTTCTAACACAACTTATTTACCTATTTTTTTCTCTTCCCAGAAGAAAGATAAAATGAAACTATATAATTGAACATTCAAGGGAGTCTGTGGATTTGAGAAAAGCCATAGAATTCTAGAGATGAAAGAATTTTTTTTAAATAATATGTGTTTTAGGACCAGAACTCTTTGTTCAAACAAGGTCTTAGGCAGAACATAAGAGAAAACATAGGTAAAAAAAAGATGAAAGCAGAGGTGATCTGGTTAAAGTCAGGGAGCCCCCTCACCCTACCCAGACATTTCCCTGGGTTGCAGGCATAAGGAGCACAGAGTGAGACCTGCAGATGTGGCCTAACCCTGTTATTTCACAGCCCATGAGAAGGAAAATGCCAGCCCACATCACAAGAGCAAATAATGAAATTTCAAAGCTAACACTCAGAGCTGAGCCTGCACATCTTTTCAACTAAATCATAGCAACCTTTCAAAAGAACAGAATAATATACTTAAAGAGAGTTTGCTTGTCTGGGCTCACCAGGCTTCTTCTGAGTACAACTGCATCTTGTAAGAAATGTTTTATCTTCTGTTAGTGATGGCACTGTATTCTTTGTATTCTTTCCAGCATGGCTGGTCCTCTCAGCCAGGCTCATCCTGGACCATACACCCTCTCTGTGCTTTTCTTCTCTAACTACTCACATTTTTCCATGAAGTCTGGGGTTAATGTTAGGCTTCTTTTCTAAATCCGCCTTACTTAAAAAATTGCTATACAAAACCACTCCACGCCAAGTATCTTGCAGGATTCAAATGTTCCCTAAAAGCAGTGAAGAGAGACATGACCCAGAGACTTGTAAAGCTGTGACAAAAGCAGGCAGAGCTCAGCTGAATGCATTTCTTTCTGTATGTTTTGACACCTCACACCTGGCACAGGAGGGAGGCAGTGCAGGAATTAGGGAAAACAAGGTAAGAATTGATGTCACAAGCTCTACCAGCAATTATGGAAGTAGGTTACTCAACATGTTTACTCCTTCATTCATTCATTCAATGCATATTTCCGTGCTGACCAGGTACCATGCTAGGCTCTGAGGATACTAAAATAAGATTGTAACTCACAGCACTTACAGTCTGATAATAAACTAGCAATTACAGAATACAGTGATGCCACTGGAGGATGAGCAGAGAGGGCCATTGTGGTGGACTTTTACCTTGGTGATCCTCAAAACATCTTGCCTTCTATATTCACACTCTTGTATAGGCCCTGCCCACACTGACTTTGGCTAATGAGATAGTAGCAAGCGTGATGCATGCAGAGGATTGAAAAGTGCTCACACATGAAGGCTTTCCCATTATGCAAAGTCCAAGTTAGTTGTACTGAGAAAGTGACATGGAGACAAAGAAAGCAAGGCTGGCAGGGGAGGACGGGGGAGGTGTTCTAGCCTTCCAGCTGTCCTTGCCAAGGTTCCAGACGCATGAATGTAGCCATCTTGAATGCTGTGGCCCCATCCACCACCTAAGTGCAACAGCATGAGCAACCCCCAGCAGGAGAATCACCCAGCTGAGTCCCAACCAACCCAAGACTCAGGAACAAATAAAATAGTGGTTGTTTTAAGCTGCTAAGTTTTGGGGTGGGTTGTCACATAGCAATAAAAACACAGCCATATACATTTTTTAAAAAGACCTTTTATTGAAATTCATGCCAGGTGGGGGTTTTAGATTTTGATGGATTCATTTTTACAATGTGATCTCTTTTTAAAATTATTTTCCAAATGATTATTGATATAGCATAATCTTTAGTTTGTCATATGCATGCATATTTACTCATACAAGGAAGAAAAAATCAGTAGACTGTGGTCAAGAAAAGAAGGCAAAAACCAGAATTTGTAGGAGAAAGAAGACAGAAAAACTGAAAGTAGTCAGGGAGAATGAATTTTGTTTGCACATTTTTCTGGGTAAACTTATTGGTTCATGTCCAGCAAAGAAGTCAGTCTAGACAGTCTGCTGCTAGGAAGGCTAATGAGGGGTTATCAAAGGACAGAATTTAACTGCTTATGGATTCTCCTCAAAACCTTGAGAGCTTCTCAGGGGGCTTACATGCCAGGCTGTCTCTGGGCATTGGCTGACAGTGTCCTGTCATTAAGATCTTATCACAGCCAAGCTGGGATGCACCATTTTCCTCATCACAGTTTTACATGCTGATTTTAATGTATCTAGCCACTTTATTCTGACCTCTTAATTAATGTTTTAGGTTTTCTCATTGTAAAATAAGATAATCTGTAAACAATAATTTAGTCTTTTCCCTTTTGTTAATATTAATATGTAAACTGCTGACAAACCACAACTCATGTAGGATTAGAAACACAAACTAACAAGCACTCAGAGCACACATCCAGTTGGTGTGGCTGACCAAGGATCCTTTCTACTCAGAGGTATTTGATCAGTGTGGCTGAGGCAGCTCTAGTTTGGACCAGAGACCACTGGCAGATGGCTCATTTAGAGTTAATTCTCATTATAAAAATTTTTCTGAAATCATCTGAATCCATGGAAAGATCTATCTTCAAATCTAGACAGTAACAACTCTTGCCTACATATTCAGCAGATGGTTAATTCTTATGACAGTAGCACTCCACAATCACTAAGCTCTATGGGATGCTAAGTTTATTTCCTGTAAAATCAAAGTGAAACAAGCTCTATTTGGCTGAAAATGGTTGTAATAAGATCCAACAAAATAAGGTTGCCTTTGTTTCTTCTGGGGTTTCTTTTTAGAGCTAAATTGGAGAGCTCCATAAACTTTAAGATGTAATGAACTGACTCATTTATTTCACTCTGCTTTCCATCTCTGACAGGTGCATACACACACACGCACACATACACACTCCACCACCACCACCACCACTATTGCCATCCCACTGCCACACCAGCTTCCCTACACTATAGACCACACGGTCCTTGTATGGGAATTAGGTTTACACTATGTAAATGTTCCCAAGGATCTACTATGAAGCTCTGGCAATGCTCTATTTAGCCTAGGAAATTTGCTGCGATGCCAGACTAAGAGATGGAGTTTTCTGTGGAAGATAAAAGCTGCTTCCTTTATTTGAAGAAAATTAAAGTTTATTCCACAGATCAGTGGTTAACTCTCCAGGGCAAGCCCTTTTCTTCCTCCAAACTTCAACACATATTTCTACAAGTCAGGGAAATATGAATCTTCTTCCTTGGACCAGCTAAATGGATATCCTGTGGCAAGTTATTTGGAAACAATAAAACAGGCAATCACCTGCTTAAGTGGCACAATCAGAAAGGCCAAGAGAGACTTCCGACCTTTCCCGAACACCTTAATAATTGAAACTTACATTGATACCATTCTGTTTGCAAAAAGACAGAAATTCCCTATTTTCAAGGTTCTTATGTGGTTCTGAACCATTCCTTTGAGGAACTGGTGTCAACTACTGTCACATTATATTAAAGACCTGACAAAAAAGAGACATGGGATTGATGTTTTTAACTGAGCAGAAGTTGAAAGCTACTGGGGCAGTACCTAGGGGACTTTAGGCACTGAGGGGCTAAAAATTAGATATATTGTGGTGCAGAGAGATGAAGGAAGGAAGGGAATCAAAGAAAGAAGAAGCAATGACAACCAAAGGCAAATTTTGCCTTTTTCTAGCTCCTAATCTTTATTGTAGCAGTTATCTCTTATTAAGCACTATGTACCAGGTGTGCAAAGGTCTTTGCATGTGTTTGCTCATTACACCTTTACATTTCTGTTTACAAGGAGCAGAGGGGTTTAGGGCCCTGGCTCCAGAGGTTTCTCCCTAGTAGGGGATGAGATCATCCCATGCCATGTGAGCTTGTCAGGAACTTGGCATAGACCCTGAGGTTCTACTCAGGGCCTGAGGTTCTCAAGAATGAACATTCCTGGACATTCAGTAAAGAGTTGTTAATATCCCTGCCTGGATCCCTTTCTTTCTATTTTGAGAACATTAAGAGAGGGAAGGCTACTGACACTTGGAATGAATAGTCATGGGAAAGAAAACAGTCTTCAGGAACAATTTCAGGAAGGTGTGAGAAGATGAAGTGAGGACCAGAGAATGTGTTCCTGGGTGGTGGTGACCAAAAACCACCAGGATGGACTTGAGGGTCCCTAGAAATCAACTGGGGAGGGAAATCCTAGGAGAAAGATTGGTCTTCTTGTCAACCTAGAGGGTTTTTTTTTTCCACTTACTATGGTTTCAACACTAAAATAAATATGAACTTATTCCACACCTCAAACTGGTGATTTGAAATATATTTATTGGAAATATTAAAAATCTATATTTTTACTTTAGGGCAGATAATTGTGTTTTACCTCAATGTTCTAGTTTGTATTTAGCTTAAAGGACATCCTTGAAATATCTGTTTTTTATAAGAGCTTCAGAGTTAAAAGGGGAAAGGAAGATTGTTTAGGTTGAGAGGGTTCTGTTTGGGTTTGCTTTGCTGTTGTCGGGGGCGCTGGGGTGATTAGCATCATGCAGGGCATGTGATTCTGACACCCTCTTCTGTGGTGGGGGTGAGAAGGCACCGGTGCCACTAGTCCCTGACCTGTCCCTCAGACAAGTTACAAATGAAGACTGAGGGGGTGGAGTAGCTATGGAAACCAGGAGGGAAGGATTTTTTTTTTTAATGCAAATGAATTAGAACAAAATGACTGGCATCCCTTTTTCTTTTTCCATCTGTGACAAAAGTTCTGTGTCCTGGTTTCTACCTTCACTTGGAGTAAATTATGGGGGAAAGAACATCATGAAGACCTGCTATTGTCAGAGTGTCATTTCCTCTTTCTATCTTTCTGTGGATTAATTTTAAATCCATTTGATAGAATTAATCATATAAGCCAGTCTCATTTCCCTGCAAATGTCTGCCTTCGTGCAGGTGATTCTGTAGAAAGGAGTTTCTCCAATAAAGCAGAGCTTCTCTTTCAACTCCATGGACATCAGAGAGAGTCCCTTTCAAAAAAGGAGGCTCAGGTCTGGAGAGACAAAGGCCTCTACTTTCGAAAAGGCCTCTTGGATCAAGCCCAGGTATGAGTCGTCAGTACCACGTTTGTCTCTGTGTCACAGCATTTGAGATTTTCATGAGGCTACCTGACCTCAATCTGTTTCCTTTTATATATTAACTCTTTAGGTCCCAATGGGACATACCCATTTTATGAGTTACTGACATTTATAACTTACCTCATTTTAGCATAAACTTTCTGCCTTTTGTTCTTTTGTGGACAACATATTAGCTCTTGGATTCTGAGTTTTTAAATGGTATAATTTTTGTTTGGCTCCAGGCAACAGTAGTTCTACTTTGTGTCTGAGCCTCCCGTCATCATCTGTCACTCTGTGCCCACTTGTTCTATTAAAGTATCATCAGGAAGGCACACAATTGATCCAGGGTAAAAAATTCTGCTCCAACAGTGAATGAATCATTCAATGTTGTGTGTCCACTGGGAGAAAAAAAAACTCCACGCAGCATATTCATTTTCACAATTTTTATGTACTACCATGAAGTACATAAAAATTACTGTAGGAATTTTATTTTATTTTATTTATTTTTTTTGAGATGGAGTCTCGCTCTTTAGCCCAGGCCGGACTGCAGTGGCGCTATCTCGGCTCACTGCAAGCTCCGCCTCCCGGGTTCACGCCATTCTCCTGCCTCAGCCTCCTGAGTAGCTGGAACTACAGGCACCCGCCACCGCGCCTGGCTAATTTTTTTTGTATTTTTAGTAGAGACGGGGTTTCACCGTCTTAGCCAAGATGGTCTCGATCTCCTGACCTCGTGATCCGCCCGCCTCGGCCTCCCAAAGTGCTGGGATTACAGGCGTGAGCCACCGAGCCCGGCCTATTGTAGGAATTATTACACTCACTTTGTTTCACTCTGCTCTACCTTCTAAATCTGAACATGTCCTGTTCTATTGATACTTTCTCCTGTCAATAGTCATGCTAGTGATGGAAGAACCTTGGCCAATATGATTAGAGTCTGAAAGATTCTCCTGGGTGATGTAAAACGAGCTCATAGGCAGAGGGGAGAACTTCCTTCTGTAACACACAGGCTGGCTTCTGACTCACCTACAAAAAAAGAAAAAAAGAGAGCTACTTGGTTCCACTGTCTCTTTGGATCTCATGAGTTGAAAGCTGAGGCTGTACTCCCCAACAAACATGAGTATTTCAGTTCTAAGTAGGTGACTGGAGAAAGATGAAATCCACTCAATTTGAAGAACATTTAAAAAATATGTTTTCATGCTTTGGAAAAGTTTCAGTGTGTCAGGTAAAATACTTGAAACTAAAAATTGTTGTAGATTTTGTACTATCGTTGGCCTGGAAGAGCAGTTCACATTTAATTAACGTTCTAAGGTAACACTGTGGCATAGTTATAGGACTGCAAGTAACAATTCACAAAATGAATTAATCATTGGATCCTGCTATGTTCTGAATGTTTGTGCTCCACAAAACTCATGTGTTGAAATCCGATGCCCCAAGGTGATGGTATTAGGAGGCGGGGCCTTTTAGAGGCAACCAGATCATGAGGGCAGAGCTAATGGCACTAATGGGATGAGTGTCCTTATAAAAGAGACCCCAGGCTGGGCACGGTGGCTCATGCCTGTAATCCCAGCACTTTGGGAGGCCAAGGCAGGTGGATCACGAGGTCAGGAGTTCGAGACCAGGGTGGCCAACATAGTGAAACCCTGTCTCTACTAAAAATACAAAAAATTAGCCGGACGTGGTGGTGTGCACTTGTAATCCCAGCTACTGGGGAAGCTGAGGCAGGAGAATTGCTTGAACCTGGGCGGCGGAGGTTGCAGTGAGCCAAGATCATGCCATTGCACTCCCGCCAGGTCGACAGTGCGAGACTCCGTCTCAAAAAAAAATTAATAAATAAAAATAAAAAAATAAAAAGAGACCCCAGAGAGACCCTCGCCCCCTCTACCACGGGAGGACACAGCAAGAAGATGCCATCTATACGCCAGAAAGTGGTCTCTCTCCAGACAGCAAATCTGTCTTGATCTTAGACTTGCCAGCCTTCAGAAATGTGAGAAAGAAATCTCTGTTGTTTATGAGCCACCCACTCAGTTTATAGATTTTGTTATGCAGTGTGAACAGGTTAAGACAGATCCCTCAATCTTTTATTCAAGAGCAACAGGGACAGTGGCCATGACTACAGATGGGAGTCAAATATATCTGGGCTTTATGCAAGCTTAAACATGCACTAGATAATTGACACTGGACGAGTTACCCCACTGTTCTTGTTCTCAACTTTATAATCCTGGGAACGAAGATGGTAATAATATCTATTTCGCTGGGGTATCATATACAATAGTGCCCGGTACACTGGGGTGTTACATAAATCAGTGCTCAACAGTGGCTGTTATTTTGCTCTAGGATATTACTGAAGCATATAAAGCCTTATCTTTCCGACAGACTCCAGGCAGTCAAATGCCCTCTGCAATGTTTCCTCAAATTCCTAGAGGATGTAATTTTCATGCCCCTGGTTTAGACAGAGGCTATCTTTCTTACACTCCTTAGAAGATAATATATTTCAAAATAAAGAAAGGTCTGAAAGATCTCATTGCTACTAAATACAGAATACTGCATTATCCATAATATTGAACTTAAATTTGCCTTTGTGCTTTTAAAATCTACTTTTAAAATTCTTATACTATATCCAATTGTTGACATTTCCAGGTCTCTATTTTGTGGAGTTAGGACAGCATTAAATACAAAATGAAGAAAATGAAGGACAGATCTCTAGTGCATATACCAGCTTTACAGTTTTCTAAATGCAGTGCCACAAAATGTGCCACTGATGTCACAAGAGCTTGTAAGCCAGCTGGGGACCCAGACACATCAGAGGTGACATCTCAAGGCAGGGGGAGGGTACCAGAGGCAGCCATGGCAGAGCATGGGAAGAATCCCTTGGGGAGCCATGTCCAGTCTTGCAGATGCTAATTAATCTTGTCATCATGTTGTGCCATTCCTCCTCCTTGGTAGCTCTGTCGGAGCATTCTGAACAATCACAGTAAGAGAAATGCAATGACAGCCATGCTTCATCTCCAGCTGTTTCCTGAGAAGATGACAGGTATTCATGAAGCATTCCTCACAGTCCTGATGAGACTGAGGAGCAGAGTCCACTCCTCAAAAGATCCTGGAGTGTTGACATGTTCTGATGGTGTCAGTGATCTGCCAGGATTTGGGTATTTTATCCAGTGATGGATTAGAGGGCATGAAGCTGTGGGTTTTGGAGCTGGACTCACCATTTTTAGGGCTCAAGGGTGTTATACTCTAAGACTAAAACTCACTGAGGGTAAGCACCTCCCTCCATGTTTTAAATTTCTTCCTACACCTGCATAAGACCAGTCTCTGTGTCCTGCATATAGTAGGTGCTCATTATATTTACTATTGATTATATTTACCAAAATATCTTATGGATTCCTAATTATTTAATTTCATGGAGTCTTTACATTATCCATGGAACCACGTCCCTCTTGAATCTCATCTTATCCATCAGGACCTCTCTGACTGTCCCAGTTCATAGTAAGCTTCTCTTCCTCTGAATGTACCATCCTTCTGACACTAAAGAGAACATGCCCACAATGCTGGGCGTGGTGGCTCATGCCTGTAATCCCAGCACTTTGGGAGGCCGAGGCGGGCGGATCACGAGGTCAGGAGATTGAGACCATCCTAGCTAACACGGTGAAACCCCGTCTCTACTAAAAATACAAAAATTAGCCGGGCATGTTGGCGGGCGCCTGTAGTCCCAGCTACTTGGGAGGCTGAGGCAGGAGAATGGCGTGAACCCAGGAAGCGGAGCTGGCAGTGAGCTGAGATCGCGCCACTGCACTCCAGCCTGGGTGACAGAGTGAGACTCCATCTCAAAAAAAAAAAAAAAAGCATGCCCACAACTTGCAAAGTACCTCTCTTACAACGGAGTAAGTGTGCCACATGATTACATGGGGTTGTATTGGTTTATTTCCTTCATTTTCTGTTTTCAAACTGTGCTCTTTAGGGATCTGAGAGAAGGAAAACAGGCTTAGTGCCAACTCACACGACTCTTAAAGGCAGCTCTCTTTACACAGAGATGTTGCCAAAGTTTTAAGTTTATTGCATAAAAGGACCCAAGGCGCTTTGTCGGCCTCAATTTCTGCCTGAGGAATGGTAGTGGGTAGGGGTGTTCATGTTTATGTTTCCCTGGTCTTCCAGTTACCCCATTACAAGTCAGCTGTCCCCTGTCATTTGAGATACTGACTTACAGTGATGTCACAGTCAAGGACACAACAAGTAGCTAGGATGGACCTAAGGGTCTCTGGTATGCCTACAATGCCAGGCATTCGTGAGGTTTGTTTTGGGGTCAACATCTAGCTCAAGATTCATATGTATATTTTAATGAGGACTTTGCTTCCTTTTTTTCACACCTTTCTCCCTTCACTAAGCTGGGTGCTGGATGTTAGTAATACTAAGAGACATGAGACATTATCTCCCCCTTCAGATCATGACTCAGTGGAAGATTTAGATACATAAACAGAAAGTGACACATTGGAGTATGCACTATGAACTATGAGAGCACAAATGAGAAACATGTTTTGTAAGAAATGCATAGAGGGAGAACTACATGGATATGAGATATTTAAGCTGGACCCTCAAAGATGACAAACACATCACTAAGTCTTGATGATCTTAGCTCCTAAATACGTCTCTAATCTCTCTGCTTTTTTCCATCTCTGCTGCTAGACCCTCATCAGAGCTGACAACATGTCCAGCCTGCACTACTGCAAGAACTTCTTTGTCTATGGTAGTGTGGTCAACTGAAGAAGCCGGCTTAGTTGCTCCAGTCAGGTGCTCACACTAAGAAAGGATGGGTGAAGGTTATAAAGTGGCTGTGAATGAGAACTCGGTCTGGGCTCTACCAAGCAGAGAAGCCATGCAGAGATGAGAAAGGTGAAAGCCATGAAACCATGTTAAGCAGAAAAATAAAAATTCAAAACAGAATGGGTGTAGCATTATATAGTGTTCTGTGGAGTACCATGATCCTTCTTCATGAAACAACTTCAAGGCAGACATCTGGTGGTTTTTTCCATTGCCCCCAAGGCAGAGAGTAACAGAAAGGATGGAGATGTGCAAAGAAGAAGTAAAAAGATGGAATCAGAAGTAGAAGAGAAGAGAACAAAAAGAGGAAACAGGGAATAGAAGAGGTCTTCCCACCCCACCACCATCAGCCCTGTCAAAAGTAACCTCACAGGCATTTACCTCAACTGGGACTCCCTTAGAAATGGTAGAAAATTTAGTTCTCTATGTTATACAAAAACAGTCTTCTGCATTGGCCTTTCATAGTGCCTAAAAACACTTTTTTGCTTATTGAAAAAAAGTAATTTTATAATATTATTAAATAATATTAATTTGCATTTTAATGCAAATACCCGTAGGAGAGGTAAATCATAGAAGCTAATATTTTGACATTTTGTGGACATTTATAGATAGCTAATAATGGTCCATACCTCAAAATGAAAAAAGGGCAGGTGCGTGTGTGTGTGTGTGTGTCAGTGGGGGTGACAAAAACTCTTGAGAATAAACACCAAAGAAGAAGGTATAAAGTGGGAGAATAGCAAAAATGAGGTGAAGCATCTCAACTGGGAGACCTGGAATGCAGAGAGACAGCTGACTCCCATCATCCAGGCCACGAACATTTTCATTGCGACCTTGTCAGTCACCTTCTATCTGCTATTATTATATCCACTCCTGCCCCTCTAAATCATTCTCCACACAGCAAACCAGAGCTTCAAAATACATAAAGCAAAAACTGTTAGAACTGAAAGGAGAAATAGACATATCTGCAATTATAGTTGGAGGCATCAATAGCCTCTTTAAACAATTGATGGAGCAACTAGACAGAAAATCAGCAAGGATATAGAAGAACCTAGCAACACCATCAAATAACAGGAATGAATTGACACTTACAGAACACTCCAACCAATAACAGAAGAATACACAGGCCAGGCGCGGTGGCTCACTCCTGTAATCCCAACTCTTTGGGAGGACGAGGCAGGTGGGTCACCTGAGGTAATGAGTTCAAGACTAGCCTGGCCAACGTGGCAAAACCCTGTCTCTACTAAAAATACAAAAATTAGTCAGGCATGGTGGTGCATGCCTGTAATCCCAGCTACTTGGGAGGTTGAGGCATGAGAATTGCTTGGACCCAGGAGGCAGATGTTGTAGTGAGGTGAGATTGTGCCACTGCACTCCAGCCTTGGTGACAGAGTAAGATTCTCTTAAAAAAAAAAAAAGAAGAAGAATACACAGAAGAGATAAATATGTATACATATTTATACATATTTATATTTATATATATGTATACTTATATGTATACACGCATACACGTTCATATAAGGAAGCCATATCCTGAATGATAAAATAAACCTCAACAAATTTAAAAGAATTAAAATGATACAGAATATGTTTTTTGACTACATGGATTTCAAGCTAGAAATCAGTAACAAAAGGATAACATGAAAATCTCCAAACACATGGAAACCAATATAAATAGCTCATGGTAGTCTCAAGAAAATTTGAGAAATATAGTGAACTAAACAAAAATGAATATACAACATATTAAAATTTGTGGTATGCAGCTAAAACAGTGCAGAGGAAAAATCTTACAGCTCAAGACCTAGAGGTGAAAGTCTTGAATTAATAATCTAAGCTCTCACTTCAAGAACATAGAAAAAGAACAGCAAAAATCAGGCATACCTCATATTATTGTGCTTTGATTTCTTGTGATTCACAGACACTGTGCTTTTTACAAATTGAAGGTAGATAGCAGCTCTGTCAAGCAAGTCTACTGGTACCATTTTTCCAACAGCAGGTGGAAAAATTATGTCTATGTGTCACATTTTAGTAGTTCTCACAATATTTTAAACTTTTAAATTATTTTTATATCTGTTATGATGATTAGTGATCGTTGATATTACTATTGTAATTGCTTCTGGGATACTGCAAACAGCACCCATATAAGACAGCAAACTTAATTGATAAATGTTCCATGTGTCCTGACAGCTCCACTGACCAGCTATTTGCTCTCTCTCTCTCTCTCCCCTCAGGCCTCCTTATTTTCTGAGACACAACTATATTGAAATTAGGTCAACTAATACCCCCACATTGGCCTCTAAGTGTTCAAGTGACAGGAAGAGCTGCATGTCTCTCACGTTAAATTAAAAGCTAGGAAAAATTAAGCATAGAGAGGAAGGCAGGCAGAAAGCGAAGACAGGCCAAAAGCTAGACTCTTGGCACCAATTAGTTGGCCAAGTTGAGAATGCACAGGAAAAGTTTTTGAAGGCAATTAAAAGTGCTATGCCAGTGAACACACAAATAATAAGAAAGTGTAAAAAGCCTCATTGCTAATATGGAGAAAGTTTTAGTGGGCTAGATAGAAAATCAAACCAGCCACAACATTTCCCTAAGCCATAGCCTAATTCAGAGCAAGGATGTGCAAGGAGGTTAATGCTGTTTTCGTGCCTGCTAACACAACATTCATTCTGCAGCCCTTAGATCAAGGAGTAATTTCAACTTTCTAGTCTCATTACTTAAGAAATAAATTTTGTAAGGCTATAGTTGTCATAGATAGTGATTCCTTGGATGCATCTGGGCAAAATACATTGAAAACCTTCTGGAAAGGATTCATCATTCTAAATGCCATTAAGAACATTCATGACTCATGGGAGGAGGTCAAAATAGCAACTTTAACAGGAGTTTGGAAGAAGTTTATTCCAATCCTCATGGGTTATTTCGAGATGTTAAAGACTTCAGTGGAAGAAATAATTGCTAATGTGGTGGAAATAGCAAGAAAATTAGAATTAGAAGCCTGAAGATGTGACTGAATTGCTGCAATCTCATCAAAAAACTTGAACAGATGAGGAGTTGCTTCTTATGGATGAGCAAAAAAAGTGGTTTCTTGACATGGAATCTACTCCTGGTGAAGATGCTGTAAACATTGTTGAAATGACAATAAAGGATTCAGAATATTACATAAACTTAGTTGATAAAGCAGTGGCAGGGTTTGAGAGGATTAACTCTAATTTTGAAAGAAGTTCTACTGTGAGTAAAATGCTATCAAACAGCATCACATGCTACAGAGAAATCTTTTGTGAAGAGTCAATTGATGAGGCAAACCTCATTGTCTTATTTTAAGAAATTGCAGAGAGGCTTAAAAATGGCTGACTAGAGGCATCTGGTACTTGCCTCCTCCACAAAGCAGCACTGAAATAGCAAGTAGACAATCACACTTGTAATAGATCTTCTAAGAGAGAATACTGGAATTCAACAGACAAGTGGCAGGAAACACCTAAAGCAAGGAGGGAGAGGAAAGTGAGGCAGCCTGCTCAGCCATGATCAATTGGGACCCCAGAGAGCCTTCCCAACAGGGGAAAGAGTAAGTGGGAGATCCCCAGTGGTGCACATTTCCACCACAGACCCCTGAAATCCTAGCCATGGAAGAGTCTCTTGACCCTCACCTACCCTGAGAATAAAATAGAAAGTTGCAGAGGCCATATCATGGCACTACTTGGAGAGGGAGCTTGTGCTGGGTTCCACACTCGCTATGTGGTAGAGATAGCAAGATATATAGAATTAGAAGTGGAGCCTGAATATGTGACTGAATTGCTGCAGTCTCATCAAAAACCTTGAACAGATGAGGGATTGCGTCTCATGAATAAGCAAAGAAAGTGGTTTCTTGACATGGAATGTACTGAAGTGCACATTCAGTACATGTAGTGAAGATGCTGTGAATATTGTTGAAATGACAACAAAGAATTTAGAATGTTACATAAAGTAGTGCCTCTCAACTCCCATGAGCACTGAGAATAAAATAGGGAGTTGCAGAGACCATACAATGGCACTGCTCCAGACAGGGGGCTCACACTGGGTCCTAAGCAACTGTAGCACAATGTCATTTTGAGCCCAATCCCCAACACACTACATCCTGCCCTCGGGCTCAACGCTCCCTGCATCTCTACATCCCTGGAGCCCCAATGACGTTCCCTGCCCACAGTCATCACCACTGCTGGCTGCTGCCACTGGAGCTGAAGTACAAACCACTGGCAGCAACTCTGCTGCCCCCAATAGCAGGACAGCCCCACATTTAAAAGATATTCCACCTGCAACTGCCACCTGAAGCCCAAGAGTGTGCACCCTAGCTGCCTGCCTGTGGCTATTGCAACAGAAAGCAACATTGCCCTCCCCAACAACAGGACCACAGCATAGATGTTGTCACTCCCACCTGAGCATTCCACCAGGGGCTGGGGATGACGCTTCCCCTACCTACCACAGCCAGCATCTGCATGCATCAATGGGGGCTGAGGGCAGGAACACCCAGTCTGGCTCCATCCCTGCTAGTGTCCAAGCATGCTGTTCAGTGGTCTGGGGATCACCCAGCCCCGGCTACCACTACTGGTATCTAACCACTCCTTCTAGGATCCTGATGTCACACCCAACCAACCTGTCATTACCACCATAGCTGGTACCCACCTGCATACACTACTTGCAGGACTGGGGAATGGCCTACCTAGCCAGGTGTAGTTACCACCAACACCAGCACAGATCACTTGAGTGCCAGAGGGTCATCCCACCACTGCTAGTGATATCACCCACACCCACTGCCTAGGGACCTAACAACCAACCCACATGCTTGGCCCACCACTGCCATCCCTGGAACTCGAGCAACCTGGAAGCCCAAGAATAAGCTTGCTTGGCCCCACTAACACTGATGCCAGCATACACCACCCTGAGGCCCAAGTACAGGCATGATTGGTCCACCACTGCCACTACTGGGGCCCAAGAACTGGCCTACCTGGAATGCCTGTCTCCAATAAAACTTTACCATAGCCTCCATTAACAACTACACCCTAAGCCACGGATGACACCACAGACACCATGACCACTGTTTACAGCTGAAGAAATTATACAAGGACTATACTACTTCACACACCCAAAATCAAAGCCAAGGTGCCGTCCCAACCAACACCATAGTTATATCTTCAGGAAAAATCCTCCCCTCCCCTAGGAAAGCAAATCCAAAATAGGAAGAATATGTTGTTACACCAGATGCTCAGATATCAATGTAAGGACACAAAAAACACGAAAAAGCAAGAAAATATGACACCTGCAGAGGAACACAATAATTCTCCAGCAACAGATTCCAATGAAATTTATGAAATTTCATAAAATCCTAGAAAAAATTCAAAATATTGACATTAAAAAATTCAGTGATATGTAAGAGAATACAGGTAAACAATACAAAGAAATCAGAAAAAAACAATTCAGGATATGAATGAGAAATTAACCAAAGAGATATCATAGAAAAGAACCAAACAGAAATACTGGAAATGAAGAATTCAATTAATGAAATAAAACAATGCATTTAAAGTCTACAACAATGGACTAGATGAACCAGAAGAAAGAATTTGAGAAGTTGAAGATAAGGCCTTTGAAATAACCCAGTCAGACAAAAATAAAAAAAAGAAAAAGAGTGAACAAAGCCTATGTGCCATATGGGACACCATAAAGCAATCAAATATTTGAATTTTTAGTGTCCCAGAAGGCAAGATAAAATGAAAGGGATAGAACATCTATTTAATAAAATAATAGCTGAAAACTTCTAAAGTCTGGCAAGAGATAGAGATATCCAGGTACAGGAAGTGTATAGGTTTCCAACTAGTTACATTCAATAAGATCTTCTCCACAGCACATTATTGTCAAACTGTCAAAAGTCAAAGGTTAAAAAAATTCTAAAAACAGTAAGAGAAAAGCATCTAGTCAATTATAAGGTAGCTCTGATTAGAATAACAGAAGATTTCTTTTTTAAATTTTATTATTATTATTATTATTATTATTATTATTATTATTATTATTATTTTTGAAATGGAGTCTGGCTCTTGTCCTCCAGGCTGGAGTGCAATGGCACAATCCTGGCTCACTGCAACCTCCGCCTCCCAGCTTCCAGCAATTCTCCTGCCTCAGCCTCCTGAGTAGCTGGGACTACAGGTTCATGCCACCACGCCCAGCTAATTTTTGTATTTTTGGTGGAGATGGGGATTCACCATGTTGGCCGGGCTGGTCTCAAACTCCTGACCTCAGGAGACCTGCCCACCTTGGCCTTCCAAAGTGCTGGGATTACAGGCATGAGCCACCATGTCCAGCCTAACAGCAGATTTCTTAGCAAGAAACCTTACAGGCCAGGAGAGAATGGGATATTATATTCAAAGTGCTAAAAGAAAAAAATCAGTCAAGGATACTATACCCAGAAAAGTTATTCTTCATGAATGAAGGAGAAATAAAGTCCTTAAGGGAGTCCTATACCTGCAAGTGAAAGGATGATGTCCACCATCACAAAAACACACAAAAGTATTAAACCCATCAGTAGAGCAAACACACAAATAAGGAAGACAAAGAACTCAAATAGTACACTATAGAAAACCACAAAGCTACAATAAACAATGGGAGAAAGAAAAAAACAAAGAATATGGGAAAAACCCAGAAATTAATAAATAAAGTGACTGGTATAAGTGCACACATATCAATAATAACCTAATAACCTTGAGTGTAATGTTCCCATTTAAAAGATAGAGGTGGGCTAAATGGATTAAGAAAAAAATGAAAATCAAAAAAGAGGAGGAGTAGCTATACTTACATAAAACAATCTTTAAGTCAAAAAATAGTAGAAAGACGGGGAGGAGCCAAGATGGCCGAATAGGAACAGCTCCGGTCTACAGCTCCCAGCGTGAGTGACGCAGAAGACGGGTGATTTCTGCATTTCCATCTGAGGTACCAGGTTCATCTCACCAGGGAGTGCCAGACAGTGGGCGCAGGTCAGTGGGTGTGCGCACCGTGGGCGAGCCGAAGCAAGGTGAGGCATTGCCTCACTCAGGAAGTGCAAGGGGTCAGGGAGTTCCCTTTCCTAGTCAAAGAAAGGGGTGACGGAGGGCACCAGGAAAATCGGGTCACTCCCACCCGAATACTGTGCTTTTCTGACGGGCTTAAAAAACGGCGCACCACGAGATTATATCCCGCACCTGGCTCGGAGGGTCCTAGCCCACAGAGTCTCGCTGACTGCTAGCACAGCAGTCTGAGATCAAACTGCAAGGCGGCAGCGAGGCTGGGGGAGGGGCGCCCGCCATTGCCCAGGCTTGCTTAGGTAAACAAAGCAGCCAGGAAGCTTGAACTGGGTGGAGCCCACCACAGCTCAAGGAGGCCTGCCTGCCTCTGTAGGCTCCACCTCTGGAGGCAGGGCACAGACAAACAAAAAGCAGTAACCTCTGCAGACTTAAATGTCCCTGTCTGACAGCTTTGAAGAGAGCAGTGGTTCTCCCAGTATGCAGCTGGAGATCTGAGAATGGGCAGACTGCCTCCTCAAGTGGGTCCCTGACCCCTGACCCCCAAGCAGCCTAACTGGGAGGCACCCCCCAGCAGGGGCACACTGACACCTCACACGGCAGGGTACTCCAACAGACCTGAAGCTGAGGGTCCTGTCTGTTAGAAGGAAAACTAACAAACAGAAAGGACATCCACACCAAAAACCCATCTGTACATCACCATCATCAAAGACCAAAAGTAGATAAAACCACAAAGATAGGGAAAAAACAGAACAGAAAAACTGGAAACTCTAAAAAGCAGAGCGCCTCTCCTCCTCCAAAGGAACACAGTTCCTCACCAGCAATGGAACAAAGCTGGATGGAGAATGACTTTGACGAGCTGAGAGAAGAAGGCTTCAGACGATCAAATTACTCCGAGCTACGGGAGGACATTCAAACCAAAGGCAAAGAAGTTGAAAACTTTGAAAAAAATTTAGAAGAATGTATAACTAGAATAACCAATACAGAGAAGTGCTTAAAGGAGCTGATGGAGCTGAAAACCAAGGCTCGAGAACTACGTGAAGAATGCAGAAGCCTCAGGAGCCGATGCGATCAACTGGAAGAAAGGGTATCAGCAATGGAAGATGAAATGAATGAAATGAAGCAAGAAGGGAAGTTTAGAGAAAAAAGAATAAAAAGAAATGAGCAAAGCCTCCAAGAAATATGGGACTATGTGAAAAGACCAAATCTACATCTGATTGGTGTACCTGAAAGTGACGGGGAGAATGGAACCAAGTTGGAAAACACTCTGCAGGATATTATCCAGGAGAACTTCCCCAATCTAGCAAGGCAGGCCAACATTCAGATTCAGGAAATACAGAGAACACCACAAACATACTCCTCGAGAAGAGCAACTCCAAGACACATAATTGTCAGATTCACCAAAGTTGAAATGAAGGAAAAAATGTTAAGGGCAGCCAGAGAGAAAGGTCGGGTTACCCTCAAAGGGAAGCCCATCAGACTAACAGCAGATCTCTCAGCAGAAACCCTACAAGCCAGAAGAGAGTGGGGGCCAATATTCAACATTCTTAAAGAAAAGAATTTTCAACCCAGAATTTCATATCCAGCCAAACTAAGCTTCATAAGCGAAGGAGAAATAAAATACTTTACAGACAAGCAAATGCTGAGAGATTTTGTCACCACCAGGCCTGCCCTAAAAGAGCTCCTGAAGGAAGTGCTAAACATGGAAAGGAACAACCGGTACCAGCCGCTGCAAAATCATGCCAAAATGTAAAGACCATAGAGACTAGGAAGAAACTGCATCAACTAATGAGCAAAATGTCCAGCTAACATCATCATAACAGGATCAAATTCACACATAACAATATTAACTTTAAATGTCAATGGACTAAATGCTCCAGTTAAAAGACACAGACTGGCAAATTGGATAAAGAGTCAAGACTCATCAGTGTGCTGTATTCAGGAAACCCATCTCACGGGCAGAGACACACATAGGCTCAAAATAAAAGGATGGAGGAAGATCTACCAAGCAAATGGAAAACAAAAAAAGGCAGGGGTTGCAATCCTAGTCTCTGATAAAACAGACTTTAAACCAACAAAGATCAAAAGAGACAAAGAAGGCCATTACATAATGGTAAAGGGATCAATTCAACAAGAAGAGCTAACTATCCTAAATATATATGCACCCAATACAGGAGCACCCAGATTCATAAAGCAAGTCATGAGTGACCTACAAAGAGACTTAGATTCCCACACATTAATAATGGGACACTTTAACACCCCACTGTCAACATTAGACAGATCAACAAGACAGAAAGTCAAAAAGGATACCCAGGAATTGAACTCAGCTCTGCACCAAGCGGACCTAATAGACATCTACAGAACTCTCCACCCCAAATCAACAGAATATACATTTTTTTCAGCACCACACCACACCTATTCCAAAATTGACCACATACTTGGAAGTAAAGCTCTCCTCAGCAAATGTAAAAGAACAGAAATTATAACAAACTATCTCTCAGACCACAGTGCAATCAAACTAGAACTCAGGATTAAGAATCTCATCAAAACCACTCCACTACATGGAAACTGAACAACCTGCTCCTGAATGACTACTGGGTACATAACGAAATGAAAGCAGAAATAAAGATGTTCTTTGAAACCAACAAGAACAAAGACACAACATACCAGAATCTCTGGGACACATTCAAAGCAGTGTGTAGAGGGAAATTTATAGCACTAAATGCCCACAAGAGAAAGCAGGAAAGATCCAAAATTGACACCCTAACATCACAATTAAAAGAACTAGAAAAGCAAGAGCAAACACATTCAAAAGCTAGCAGAAGACAAGAAATAACTAAAATCAGAGCAGAACTGAAGGAAATAGAGACACAAAAAACCCTTCAAAAAATTAATGAATCCAGGAGCTGGTTTTTTGAAAGGATCAACAAAATAGATAGACTGCTAGCAAGACTAATAAAGAAAAAGAGAGAGAAGAATCAAATAGATGCAATAAAAAATGATAAAGGGGATATCACCACTGATCCCACAGAAATACAAACTACCATCAGAGAATACTACAAACACCTCTACACAAATAAACTAGAAAATCTAGAAGAAATGGATAAATTCCTCGACACCTACACTCTCCCAAGACTAAACCAAGAAGAAGTTGAATTTCTGAATAAACCAATAACAGGATCTGAAATTGTGGCAATAATCAATAGTTTACCAACCAAAAAGAGTCCAGGACCAGATGGATTCACAGCCAAATTCTCCCAGAGGTACAAGGAGGAACTGGTACCATTCCTTCTGAAACTATTCCAATCAATAGAAAAAGAGGGAATCCTCCCTAACTCATTTTATGAGGCCAGCATCCTTCTGATACCAAAGCCTGGCAGAGACACAACCAAAAAAGAGAATTTTAGACCAATATCCTTGATGAACATTGATGCAAAAATCCTCAATAAAATACTGGCAAAACGAATCCAGCAGCACATCAAAAAGCTTATCCACCATGATCAAGGGGGCTTCATCCCTGGGATGCAAGGCTGGTTCAATATACGCAAATCAATAAATGTAATCCAGCATATAAACAGAGCCAAAGACAAAAACCACATGATTATCTCAATAGATGCAGAAAAGGCCTTTGACAAAATTCAACAATGCTTCATGCTAAAAACTCTCAATAAATTAGGTATTGATGGGACGTATTTCAAAATAATAAGAGCTATCTATGAAAAACCCACAGCCAATATCATACTGAATGGGCAAAAACTGGAAGCATTCCCTTTGAAAACTGGCACAAGACAGGGATGCCCTCTCTCACCACTCCTATTCAACATAGTGTTGGAAGTTCTGGCCAGGGCAATTAGGCAGGAGAAGGAAATAAAGGGTATTCAATTAGGAAAAGAAGAAGTCAAATTGTTCCTGTTTGCAGACGACATGATTATATATCTAGAAAACCCCATTGTCTCAGCCCAAAATCTCCTTAAGCTGATAAGCAACTTCAGCAAAGTCTCAGGATACAAAATAAATGTACAAAAATCACAAGCATTCTTATACACCAACAACAGACAAACAGAGAGCCAAATCATGAGTGAACTCCCATTCACAATTGCTTCAAAGAGAATAAAATACCTAGGAATCCAACTTACAAGGGATGTGAAGGACCTCTTCAAGGAGAACTACAAACCACTGCTCTATGAAATAAAAGAGGATACAAACAAATGGAAGAACATTCCATGCTCATGGGTAGGAACAATCAATATCATGAAAATGGCCATACTGCCCAAGGTAATTTACAGATTCAATGCCATCCCCCTCAAGCTACCAATGCCTTTCTTCACAGAATTGGAAAAAACTACTTTAAAGTTCATATGGAACCAAAAAAGAGACCTCATCACCAAGTCAATCCTAAACCAAAAGAACAAAGCTGGAGGCATCACACTACCTGACTTCAAACTATACTACAACGCTACAGTAACCAAAACAGCATGGTACTGGTACCAAAACAGAGATATAGATCAATGGAACAGAACAGAGCCCTCAGAAATAACGCCGCATATCTACAACTATCTGATCTTTGACAAACCTGAGAAAAACAAGCAATGGGGAAAGGATTCCCTATTTAATAAATGGTGCTGGGAAAACTGGCTAGCCATATGTAGAAAGCTGAAACTGGATCCCTTCCTTACACCTTATACAAAAATGAATTCAAGATGGATTAAAGACTTAAACGTTAGACCTAAAACCATAAAAACCCTAGAAGAAAACCTAGGCATTACCATTCAGGACATAGGCATGGGCAAGGACATCATGTCTAAACACCAAAAGCAATGGCAACAAAAGACAAAATTGACAAATGGGATCTAATTAAACTAAAGAGCTTCTGTACAGCAAAAGAAACTACCATCAGAGTGAACAGGCAACCTACAAAATGGGAGAAAATTTTTGCAACCTACTCATCTGGCAAAGGGCTAATATCCAGAATCTACAATGAACTCAAACAAATTTACAAGAAAAAAACAAACAACCCTGTCAAAAAGTGGGCAAAGGACATGAACAGACACTTCTCAAAAGAAGACATTCATGCAGCCAAAAGACACATGAAAAAATGCTCATCATCACTGGCCATCAGAGAAATGCAAATCAAAACCACAGTGAGATACCATCTCACACCAGTTAGAATGGCAATCATTAAAAAGTCAGGAAACAACAGGTGCTGGAGAGGATGTGGAGAAATAGGAACACTTTTACACTGTTGGTGGGACTGTAAACTAGTTCAACCATTGTGGAAGTCAGTGTGGCAATTCCTCAGGGATCTAGAACTAGAAATACCATTTGACCCAGCCATCCCATTACTGGCTATATACCCAAAGGACTATAAATCATGCTGCTATAAAGACACATGCACATGTATGTTTATTGTGGCACTATTCACAATAGCAAAGACTTGGAACCAACCCAAATGTCCAACAATGATAGACTGGATTAAGAAAATGTGGCACATATACACCATGGAATACTATGCAGCCATAAAAAATGATGAGTTCATGTCCTTTGTAGGGACATGGATGAAATTGGAAATCATCATTCTCAGTAAACTATCACAAGAACAAAAAACCAAACACCGCATGTTCTCACTCATAGGTGGGAATTGAACAATGAGATCACATGGACACAGGAAGGGGAACATCACACTCTGGAGACTGTTGTGGGGTGGGGGGAGGGGGGAGGGATAGCATTGGGATATATACCTAATGCTAGATGATGAGTTAGTGGGTGCAGCGCACCAGCGTGGCACATGTATAACATGTAGCTAACCTGCACAATGTGCACATGTACCCTAAAACTTAAAGTATAATAATAAGAGAAAAAAAAAAGTAGAAAGAGACATAGAAGATCATTATGTAATGATAAAAGGGTCAATTCAGCAAAAGTAATTAACAATTCTAAACATATGTGAACCCAACCACAGAGCAACTAGATATACAAAGCAAATATTGTTAGATCTAAAGGAAGATATAGACTCCAATACAATAATGGTAAAGGACTTCAACATCCTACTCTCAGCATTAAACAGATCATCTCGACAGAAAATTAGCTAAGACATATTGGATTTAATCCAAACTTTAGATCAAATGGACATAACAGACATTTACAGACAATTTCATCTAACAGTTACAGAATACACATTCTTCTCATCAGCATAAAGAACATTCTCCAGGATAAACAATATATTAGGACACAAAATAAATCTCAATAAATTTTTAAAAATCAAAATCATATCAAGTATCTTCTTAGACTACAATGGAATAAAAGTAGAAATCAATAACAAGAGGAACTTTGGAAACTGTATACATACATTAAACAGTATACTCTTGAATGACCACTGGGTCAAGGAAGAAATTAAGGAGGAAATCGAAACATTTCTTGAAAAAAATTTGAAATATAACATACCAAAACCTATGTGATACAACAAAAGCAGTGCTGAGAGGGAAGTTTATAGAAATAAACATCCACATTAGAAAAGTAGAAAGACTTCAAATACACAATCTAATGATACATCTCAAGGAATTAAAAAGCAAGAACAAACCAAACCAATTAGCAGAAGAAAATAAATAATAAAGATCAGGGCAGAACTAAACTAAATCGAGAGTAAAAACAAATTACAAAAAATCAACTAAATGAAAAGTTGGTTTTTTGAAAAAATAAACTGATAAAACACTACCTAGACTAATCAAGTAAAGGAGAAAATGCAAATAAGCAAAATTAGAAATTAAAAAGGAGACATTATAACTGATACTACAGAAATATAAAAGATCATCAGATACTATTATGAATAACTATATAGTGAGAAACTGGAAAACCTTGAGAAAATGGATAAGTTCCTAAATATGTATAACCTACTTAGATTGAATCACTACTTAGAAAGAAATGGAAAATGTAAACAGACCAATAATGAGTAATAAAATTGAATCAGTAATAAAGTCTCTCAACAGGAAAAAATGTCCAGAACCTGCCAGATTTTACCAAAGTTCCAAAGGAACTAACACTAATTCCCAAACTGTCAAAAATTGAGGATGAGAGAATTCTCCCTAACCCATTTTATGAGGTCAGCCTTACCATTACCAAAACCAAGCAAGGACACAACAAAAAAAGAAAATTACAGGCAAGTATCCCCAGTAAACATAGAGAAAAAAATCCTCAATAAAATACTACCCCACCAAATCCAACAGCATATGAAAAAGATAATACATCATGATCAAGTGCGATTTGTCCCAGGTATGCACGTATGGCTCAACATATGCAAATTAATAAATGTGATATATCACATTGACAGAATGAAGGACAAAAACCATGTGATTATCTCAATAGATGCAAAGTAGCATTTGATAAAATTCAACATTTCTTAATGATAAAAACTCTCAACAAACTAGGAGTAGAATGAACATATCTCAACATAATAAAGGTTATATATGACAAACCAAAAGCTAACATCATACTAAATGGGAAAAACCTGAAAGCCTTTCATCTAAGAACTGAAACAAGACAAGGATGTCCACTTTCACCACTCCTATTCAATGTAGTACTGGAAGTTCTGGCCAGAGTAACCAGTCAAGAGAAAGGAATAAAAAGTATGCAAATTGGGGAAAAGGAAGTCAAATTGCCCCATTCTGCAGATGATATGATCTTATATCTAGAAAAACCTAAAGACTCCACCAAAAAACCCTGACATCTGATGAATAAATTCAATATTCAGTAAAGCTTCTGGATACAAAATCAACAACAATAAAAAATCAGTAGCATTTCTATACACCAATAATGAACTAGCTGAGAAAAAAATTAAGAAGGCAATCCCACTTACAATAGCTACAAAAAAAAAATACCTAGGAATAAATTTAACCAAGAAGATGAAAAACTTCTGCAAGAAAAACTACAAAGCACTGGTGAAAGAAATTGAAGAGGACAACAAATGAAAAAAAATCCCATGCTCATGGATCAGAATTAATATTGTTAAAATGACCTTATTTAAAGCAATCTACACATTCAGTGCAATACACATCAAAATACCTATGTCATTTTTTCCACAGAAATAGAAAAAAAAAAACACCTAAAATTTGTATGGTGTTTTTTGTTTTTTTTAAAAAAAGCCCAAACAACAAAAATAATCCTGAGCAAAAAGAATAAAGCTGGAAGCGTCACATTACCTGACTTCAAAATATGTTACAAGGCTATAGTAACCAAAACAGCATGGTATTGATATAAAAATAGATGCACAGATGAATGGAACAGAATGAAGAACCCAGACATAAATCCACATATTTATAGTCAAAGTGCCTTGACAAAGTGCCTTGACAAAGTCACTAAGAATATACATTGGGGAAAGACCACCTTCTTCAATAAATGGTGCTGGGAAAATCAAATAGCCATATGCAGAAGAATAAAACTGGACCCCATCTCTCACCATATACATAAATCAACTCAAAATAAATTAAAGACTTAAATTTAAGACCCGAAACTAAAACTACTAGAAGAAAACATAGGGGAAATGCTTCAAGACATTGGCCTAGGCAAAGATTTTTAGCTAAGACCTCAAAAGCACAGGCAACTAAAATGAAAACAGATAAATGGGATTACATCAAACTAAAAACCTTCTGCACAGCAAAGGAAACAACAGAGGGAAGAGGCAGCATGTTGAATAGGAGATAATATTTACAAACTATTCATTCAATAAAGGACTAATATCAAGACCAGCCTGCCCAACGTGGTGAAACCCCATCTCTATTAAAAATATAAAAATTAGCCGGGCATGGTGGTGTGCTCCTGTAATCCCAGCTACTTGGGAGGCTGAGGCAGGAGAATTGCTTGAACTCAGGAGGCAGAGGTTGCAGTGAGCTGAGATCATGCCATTGCATTCCAGCCTGGGCAACAGGAGTGAAACTCCATCTTAAAAAATAATAATAAAAATAAAGGACTAATATCCAGAATATGCAAGGAACCCAAACAACTCAATAAGAAAAAATAATAATAACCCCATTAAAAAGTGGACAAAGAACATGAATAGATATTTTTCAAAAGGAGACATAGAAATGGCTAACAGATACATGAAAATATGGCCAATATCTCTAATCATCAGAAATGCAAATCAAAGCCACAGTGGGATATCCTCTTACTCTAGTTAGAATGGTTATTATAAAAAAGATGAAAACCCCAGATGCTGGTGAAGATGCAGAGAAATGAGAACTATTATATACTTTTGGTAGGAATGTTAGTACAACCACCGTAACAAACAATATGGAGATTTCTCAAAAAACTAAAAATAGAACTACCATATGACTCAACAATCCCACTACTGGATATTTATTCAAAGGAAAGAAAATCAGAATATCACAGGGAAACCTGTACTCCATGTGTATTGCAGCACTATTTATAATAGCAAATATATGGAATCAACCTGAGCGTCCATCAATGGACAAATGGATAAATAAAATGTGATATATATACACAGTGCAATACTATTTGGCCATAAAATGGAATAAAATCATGTCATTTATGGCAACACAGATGGAACTAGAGTTCACTATATTAAGTGAAATAAACCAGGCTGAGAAAGACAAAGAGTACACATTCTCGTTCATATGTAGGAGCTAAAAAAGTTGGTCTCATTGGGGTAGAAAGTGGAATGATAAATATCAGAGGCTGGGAAGGGTGTACGGCTGAAGAGGGGGATGAGGAGAGGTTGGTTAATGGGTGCAAACATTAGTTAGATAGATGGAATAAGTTCTAATGCTCACCAGAAAAGCAGCTTGACTATAGTTAAAACAATGTATATTGTACGTTTAAAAATAGCTAGAAGAGAGGACTTGAAATGTTCCCAACACATAGAAATAATAAGTAATTGAGGTGACACCTTAAGTACTCTGACTTGATCATTACATATTCTACGCATGTAAAAAAATCACATATACCCCATAAATATGTATAATATCATGCTTCATTAAAGATAAATAAATTATTATTATGTATTAAGAAAGAAGGCCGGGTGCGGAGGCTCACGACTGTAATCCCAGCACTTTGGGACGCTGAGGCGGGTGGATCACGAGGTCAGGAGATCGAGACCTTCCTGGCTAACACGGTGAAACCCCGTCTCTACTAAAAATACAAAAAAATTAGCCGGGCGTGGTGGCGGGCGCCTGTAGTCCCAGCTACTCGGGAGCCTGAGGCAGGAGAACGGTGTGAACCCGGGAGGCGGAGCTTGCAGTGAGCTGAGATGGAGCCAATGCACTCCAACCTGGGCGACAGAGCAAGACTTCATCTCAAAAAACAAAAGAAAGAAAGAAAGAAAATTGCCACAGACACCCCAACCTTCAGCAACCACCACCCTGATCAGTTAGCAGACGTCAACATTGAAGCAAGACTCTCCACCAGCAAAAAGATACAACTCACTGAAGCCTCAGATGGTTGTTAGTATTTTTTAGCAATAAAATATTTTAAATAAAGGTATGTACATTTTTCAGACATAATACTATTGAACACTTATTACACTACATCATGGTGTAAACATAACTAGTATATGCATTAGAAAACCAAACAATTTTTGTGATTAGCTTTATTGTGATATTCACTTTTATTGTGGTGGTCTGGGACCAAACCCACAACATCTCAGAAGTATGCTTGTAAATCCAAAGCAAACAGAAGGAAGGAGGTAATAAAGATAAAAGCAGAAACCCATGAAACTGCAAACAAGACAATAGAGAAAGTTAGTGAAACATAAAGTGGTTCTTTGAGAAGACCAATAAAATTGACAGACCTCTAGCAAGACTGGCAAAGAAAAAAAGGAAGACAAAGATGATAAATATTGGGAATAAAAGAGAATATCACCTTAAACCCTACAGACATCAAAAAGATAATAAGAGAATTCTATAAACAAATCTATGTACATAAATCTGGCAACTCAGATGATATGAATCAATTATTCAAAAACAAATTACCATTACTCATGCAACAGGAAATAGATCATTAGAATAATCTATTGTTATTAAATAAATTAAATTAGGATTTAAAAACCTTTTCAAAAGCTTCAGGCCCGTATGGTTTCATTGAAGAATTCTACCAAATATTTAAAGAAGAACTAACACCAATTCCATACATTTGCTTGCAGAAAATTAAATTGGGAGCACTTCCAAATTCACTTTATAAGGCTAATGTTAGTTTAATATAAAAATCAGAGAAGAAAGAAAAAGATGGAAAGAAAGAAAGAAAGAAAGAAAAAGGAAGGAAGGAAGGAAGAGGAAGGAAGGAAGGGAAAGAAAGAAAGGAAGAGAGAGAAGAAAGAGAGAAAGGAAGAGAGAGAAGAAAGAGAGAAAGAAAGAAAAGACAAAGAAAGAAAAGAAAGAAAAAGAAAGAAAGAAAGAAAGAGAAAGAAAGAAAGAAGGAAGGAAGCCCCTCTCATGAGTATAGATGCGAAAATTCTTAACAAAATATTAGCAAGCAGAATTCAGGGATATATAAAAAGAATTATATACCATATCCAAGTGGAGTCTATTCCATGGATGCAAGGGTGGTTAAATATTGAAAAATCGACCAATGTGACCCACCATATCAACAAGCTAAGGAAGAAAAATTATATGATCTTATTAACAGATATAGGGAAAACATTTGAACAAAATCAGCAGTCATTCATGATAAATACTTTCAAAAAACTAGAAATAGGGGGAGAAACTTCCTAAACTTAATTTTAAAAAATCCACAAAAAATCCTGTAGCTACCATACTTAATGCCAAAAGAATGAATGGTTTCTTCTTAAGTTCAGGAAAAGGGCAAGAATTTCCATCACTGATATTCAAAATAGTAAATCACTCATCACTGGTATGCAACGTACTGTTGGAAATTCTGGCCATTGCAGTAAGGCAAGAAAAGGAAATAAAATGCACACAGAGTGGAAAGAAAGAAATAACTGTTCCTATTTGCAGATGGCATGAGTGTCTACATAGAAAATTCCCCCAAATTAAAATACTCCTAGAACTGATAAGTAAGTTTAGCAAGGTCACAGGATACAACATCAACATACAAAAAACAATTGCATTTCTACATACTAGTAAAGACACCTGGACACTAAAATTAAAAATATAAAACCAGGCCGGGTGAGGTGGCTCATGCCTGTAATCTCAACACTTTGGGAGGCTGAGGGGGGTGGATCACGAGGGCAGGAGATCAAGACCACCTTGACTAACACAATGAAACCCCATATCTACTAAAAAATACCAAAAAAATTAACCAGGTGTGGTGGTGGGTGCCTGTAGCCCCAGCTACTCAGGAGGCTGAGGCGGGAGAATGGTGTGAACTCAGAAGGCAGAGCTTGCAGTGAGCCAAGATTGCGCCACTGCACTCCAGCCTGGGAGTCAGAGCGAGACTCCATCCCAACAAATAAATAAATAAATAAATTATATATATATAGCCATTATAATTGCTGTTAAAAAATGAAATACTTATGTGTAAATCTACCAATGCACACACAGGACGTGCATACTGAAAACTACACAACACTCATGAAAGACATCAAAGATCAAAATAAATAGAAGGATATTCTGAATGTTTGAATTGGAAAACTCAAAGTAACTAAAGATGTGCATTCTTCCAAGTTGATATACAGTTGAACATTATTCATATCAAAATCTTAGATTTGTTGTAAATATAGACAAAATTATTCTAAAATTCACATGGAAAAGCAAAGTAACTAGAATAGTGTAAATATTTCTTATAAGCTGGGAATGGTGGCTTATGCCTGTAATCCCAGAACTTTGGGAAGCCAAAGCAGGAAGATTGCTTGAACCCAGGAGTTTAAGACCAGCCTGGGCAATACGGCAAAACCCCATCTCTACAAAAAATATAAAAAAAATTAGCCAGGTGTGGTGATGTGTGCCTGTAATCCCAACTACTCAGGTGACTGAGGCAGGAGGATCACTTGAGCCTGGGAGGTAGAAGCTGCAGTGAGCCATAATCACACCACCACACTCCAGCCTGGGCAACAGAATGAGGCCGTGTCTCTAATATTAATAATAATAATAATTCTTATAAAGAAAAATAGTGGGAGAAATCAACCTATCTGATTTCAAGGCTTGACATATAGCTACAGTAATCAAGACTGTGTGTTGCTGGCAGAAGGACGGACACAAGCTAATGGAAGAGTATAGAGAACCAATAAATTGTTGCATATAAATGTGGCTGATTTTTGACAAAGGTGTAAAAGCAATTCAATGGAGGAAGGATAGCATTTTCAACAAATGTGCTGGAGCAACTTGATATCCATAGGAAAAATCAAAACAAAATAAGTTTACCTAAACCTCACATCATATAAAAAATTAACTCAAAATGCATCCTAGGTCTAAATTAAAATTTTAATAATTTTATAACACAAGAGAAGATCTTTGGGACTTAGGGTTCAGTGTAGGATTCTTCAGCATGATACCATAAAAGAAAGTATCAATAAATTGAACTTCATCAAAATTTAAAAAATCTTTAACTCTACCAAAGACCCTGATGAAAAGAGAAGTTATAGAATGGGAGAACATATTTTCAGACCAAATACCTGACAAAGAATTTATATATATAAAAAAAAGTTTTCAAAAGTCAACATTAAAATAACCAAAGAATCCAATTAGAAAATGGGTGAAAATCATAAAGAGACAGTTTAATAAACAGGATATATAGCTTGAGCCCAGGAGTTCAAGACCAGCCTAGGCAACATGGAGACAAAAAATTTTGTAGAGACAATGTCTATACAAAAAATTTAAAAATTAGCCGGGCATGGTGGCGCATGCCTGTGGTCCCAGCTACTTGGAAAGCTGAGGCAGAGGATCGCTTGAGTCCAAGAGGTCGAGGCTGCAGTGAGCCATGATCATGCCATTGCACTCGAGTCTGGGATACAGAGTGAGACCCTGTCTCAAAAAAAAAAAAAAAAAAAAAAAAAGAAAGGAAAGAAAAGAATACGTACATGGTAAATAAGCACACAAAAACGTGTTCAACATCATTAGTCATTAGATAAATACAAATTAAGACCATAATAAGATATCACTACACCACTAGTAGAAAAGCTAATTTATAGTGACAGTACCAAATGCTGGTGAGGATGTAGAGAAACTGTATTTCTTACACATTGCTATTGGGATTGTAAAATGGTACCACCACTCTTGAAAATAGCTTGTCAGTTTCTTAAAACAAACAAAAAACATGCAACTAGCATATGATCCAGCAACTGCACTCTTGGTTATTTATTCCAAAAAAATAAAACACATGTCCATACAAATGCTTGTACATGTGTGGTCATAACAGCTTTGTATGTAATAGTGAAAAACTGGAAACAAACAAAATGTCCTTCCCTAGGTATATGGATAAACAAACCATGGTACCCCTATACCATGAAATACCTTTACTCCACCATTCCTAGTGACGTCTTTTTTTCTCATTGTCTAAGATAGCTACTAAAGCTCCAGGCATTACATCCATGTTCCAAGCAGCCAGATGAGAAAAGGGAGAAAGAAAAGTGTGTCCCTTTCCCTCCATCTTAAGATAATTCCTGAAAATCTCAAATACTGTGTTGGCTTACATGTCATTGGCTAGAATTGATCACATGGCCAGCCCCTCTGCAAGGAATGCTGGGAAATATTGTCTTTTTGGTTGGGTGGCAATATGCCTGGCTAAAAATTGAGGTTCTCTTATTTGAGAAGAGTGACAGAACTAGGTTTTTTGTGTCCTGAAGCTTATACAATCTGGGGGTAATGGAAGACAATAAAGTCTTTTTGCTAACAAATTTCACAAAAACATCTGACCTGAAAACACATTGTGGAGGCCCCTCCCAGGGCTTTGAAAAGGCCTATTTGAATGGAGGCCATGAGACTTAGGCTTGTTCACCTCATTGTAAATATACTTCTGTTTTGGAGGCAAACAGTAATGTCTGGCACAGTGTTACTCTGAAGGTAATGACCTTCAAAAAAACTTTCCTTCCACCTTTTCATTTCTTCTTCTTTATTAAATCAGAAAATCCAACTTTGAATAATCTACCAACAGCAAGTAACTTGAATTCTCTGAGGTTCATTTTTCCACCTGAAAAATAAAGATTATTAATACCCATCTGGCTAGATTCATGGGATGCCCAGATGAAATTATGGACCTGAAATTGCCTTATTACTATAAAGCACTATATAAATGTAAGGAACTATTATTAGCAACAATCAAAAGCTCATCCCATGAAAATGCTGAGGAAGAAGGTGGAGAAATGGGGAAGAAGGGGTCATCTTTTGAAACAGCCAGAATATTTGCCACCCAAAGCTATGAGGAAGAAGGAAAGATTCTTTGAACACCTACTATGAGCCAGTTTTAGTTATAGATGTTTTACCCTTGACTGGCACTCATTAAATATGTTTAATGAATCATACTTAGTCATAAAAATAGGTCTTTGAAACTTGAAATAGGGAAAAATTGCCCAACTTTGTAGAGATGTCAACAGAAATGGATCACTCTGAGCATCCCAAGTGATGGCATATATATCACGTCCATTCTTTCAGAGTTTCTTGGGCTGGCATAACTTTTGCTGACATCATGTCTAGCTTGAAGCAAGATCAACAGCCACACTTCACCAGATTTATACAGCCCTCTTCCACCCTCAGTAAAACATTGTTTTAAAAGGGCCAGACTATTGTCTGGTATCTTGCCGTGTCACTTTAATCAATAAATCAATCCATCAAGTATTTATTGGTTACCCACTTTTTACAGGGTGTATACCACCTGCTGGAAGATGAGGAGGTAGCCACCAAGAAGTAGAATAAGGCAAGGAGGGCAAAGAAATATAGAGCATAATCCCTGTTCCCCAAAACTTTACAATGTATTTGAAGAGATGTTGAAGAGATGTGTGTGTGGGTGTGTGTGTGTGCATGTGTGTATCTCAAATGTTAAGTAATTATGCCCAAAAACAAATGATAGCTTAATGAATGCTTAATTGAAGAGAAATCAGACCAAAGGTGCTATCAGGGTATACAGAATGAAAAAAATGCAGTGATCTGCAAAACTTTTTATGAAAGAGGATATATTTGAGCTAAGTATAAAAGGTAGTCTAAGAATTATATGGGGCAAGAAAAGAAAAACAGATAAGATAGGTGAGGTGGCAACATGATAATAAATGTAATCAGAAATGCAAGATACGAATAAAAGACATAGAATACACTGATGTGACTGAAGAGGATGAAAGAGACAAAATAAACTGTAGTTAAGATTTATAAAGAGGTTAGAGCTGAGACCAGCTCAGTCGGGGAGACCCTAACCCAGCAGCACTAGAGGAATTAAAGACATACACACAGAAATATAGAGGTGTGAAGTGGGAAATCAGCGGTCTCACAGCCTTTAGAGCTGAGAGCCCTGAACAGAGATTTACCCACATATTTATTAACAGCAAGAGAGTCATTAGCGTTGTTTCTATAGATATTAAATTAACTAAAAGTATCCCTTATGGGAAATGAAGGGATGGGCTGAATTAAAGGAATAGGTTGGGCTGGTTAACTGCAACGGGAGCATGTTCTTAAGGCACAGGTCACTCATGCTATTGTTTGTGGCTTAAGAATGCCTTTAAGTGGTTTTCCGCCCTGGGTGGGCCAGGTGTTCCTTGCCATGATTCTGGTAAACCCACAACCTTCCAGTGTGGGTGTTATGGCCAACATGAACATGTCACAGTGCTGCAGAGATTTTGTTTATGGCCAGTTTTGGGGCCAGTTTATGGCCAGATTTTGGGGGCCTATTCCCAACATGTCCCCCTTCTTTGATTTACAAAGTGATAAAAGCAAAGACAGCTTTGTCATGGTGAGCTACTTTTCACAGGAGTCAGGATCCACATCTGCAGACTATACAAAGACAAACAACACAGATTAAAAGCACAATCATCATTGAAATTACAGAGCTTCCAAATGTTTTTATCCATTTTAGTGGTTTACTACCTGCTAATCTGTCTGCAGCTCCTTTAAGCACTCCAGTTCTTGGCATTAAGGCCAGGTGCACCTGGGATGCTTTAAATATTTGTTCTTTTAATTTTGCTATATCTAAAAGCAAGTTTGTAGAGTGTCCTTCTAGTTTTTTTATTCTTTCCTAAATTTTGATCTTATTAAGAGCTATTAATAGTTTCCACAAATCCTTAATGTTTAGCTCCTACAGCAGGCCATATCATTTGAGGTTGAGGTGTCACTATACCACCATGGTTCCAGATAATAGGAACTCTTGCCATACTTCTTATCATTTCTACCATCTGACCATTTTGTTCAGAACATTTGAACATAGTGTGGCCATAGCACGCAGACTGAGAGGTGCAATTCAAGCTAAACATCCCCTTAGGGGACCAATTAATAAGGATTCCATAGGAATTGTTGTGCAGCACCTCTACCTGTTCTGCAATGCAATCTTCTTAAACAAGTACATTCATTTTTTCTTGCCAGGTTCAATTTTGTTTACAAATAGGTTTTTGAGGGGGGTATGCCTCAATTATAGGAGCAAATTTATTATGGTAAATACTGAGATCAGAAAGCATGTGTAACTGTGTCATAGAGTGATTACATCTAGGCATTATTGCCAGCCAAGATTGATAAATATGCCCAATAAGTATAATTCTTCCCTGTGTCAGCCCTTATTGAAGGAATACTCATGGCAATGGTGATCACTGCTATCATAGCTACCATTAAATTACTCATAGTGAGTGGTTGTCCTGCTTTCCTCAGGTTTTCTTCCGCCATCTGTGACAGCTTCTTGATCCGTCCCTAGGTGGGTGGCTGTGTTCGATGGGTGTTGCTCATGACAGTTGGGGTTGTCAATCTCAACATGGCTGCAACTGGGGGATCCTTGGGATACTCCCAGAGCCTCTTCCTTGGCATCTGGCTTATGATAAGGTTTCAGAAGTCTTGATGGTATCCAAATCGACTCTTGATTTTGGCCTGGAGAAACACAAGCATTACCTCTACCCCAAGTTATTATTTTACCTATTTCACAACTTTTTGTTATTGGATTTCTGCACCAAATCAATTGTTCTGCTTCTGTCTTTGCAGCTGGTTTCTATAGATGCTGTTCAGCTGCTGTTAACATCTGGCCTTTGGGCAGGCTTGAAAAATTTAAAGTTAATAATGCTAGATTCAGTTGCATCTGTGGGGTTCCATATTCTCTATTTCCCCCTTTTGGCTTTTGCACTGCTATTTTAGGGAAAGATTCATTCTTTCCGCTATGGCTTGTCCTTGAGAATTGTATGGGATACCAGTAATGTGTTTAATATTCCATATAGAGAAAAATGTAGCTAGAGCTTGGCTAGTATAACCTGGGGCATTATCTGTTTTAATAGAAGCTGGAATGCCCATCACAGCAAAACACTGCAAAAGGTGACATTTAACACAGCAGAAGACTCTTCTGATTGGCATGTAGCCCAGACAAAGTGAGAAAAGGTGTCTACACATACATGTACATAAGCTAGTCTCCCAAACGAGGTAACATGTGTGACATCCATTTGCCAAAGAGAGTTAGGTTCCAATCCTCAAGGATTAACTCCTCCTGTAAAAGATGAGGAATGTACCGTTTGGCAAGTTGGGCATCACTGGATAATAGCTTTAGCCTCTTTCCAGGTAATGTTGTATCTGCATTTGAGACCAGAGGCATTAACATGGGTTAAATTGTGAAAATGTCTAGCATTAGATATTGCATTAGCAACTAGGCGATCAGCCATTTGATTCCCTTCAGTCAAAGGTCCTGGAAGAGGTGTATGAGCCCTAATGTGAGTTATGTAAAAAGGGTGCATTTTACTTCTAACTGCTGTTTGCAATTGGGTAAATAAAGTCATAAGTTGTTCATCTGTATGAAATCGTAACTGAGCATTTTCAATTAACTGTGTGAAATGAACCACGTATGAAGAATCAGAAATCACATTAATAGGCATATTAAAAGCAGTCAATACCTCAATTACAGCTACAAGCTCCGCTTTTTGAGCTGAAGTATAGGGCATCTGAAAAACCTTACTTTTCCAGCCAGAATAAGATGCTTTACCATTACTAGACCTATCTGTGAAACAATGAAAATGCTTAGCAGGCTGCAGACTATTTACTGCAGGAATTGTAAATGCAAACCATTCATAGTCTTGCTCAGCTAAAGGGATAGTAAATAAACAGTCTTTTAAATCTATGACTATTAAAGGCCAATTTTTTGGAATTATAGCAGGAGAAGGCAATCCTGGCTGTAATGCTCCCATAGGTTGTATAACTGAACTGACAGCTCTTAGGTCAGTTAACATTCTCAATTTACCTGATTTTTTCTTAATTACAAAAATTGGAGAATTCCAAGGGGAAAATGTTGGAGCTATGTGCCCATTTTGTAATTGTTCAGTAACTAATTTCTCTAAAGCCTCCAGTTTCTCTTTACTTAGTGGCCATTGTTCTATCCAAATTGGCTTATCTGTTAACCATTTTAAAGGTATAGGTTCTGGAGGCTTAACAATGGCCACCATCAAAAATGATATCCTAATCTTTGGAGGGAACTATCTTTCCATTTGAAGCATTTCTTTCAAATCTTGCATTTTTTTTCTAGTCCCATACCAGGGACATGCCCCATTTCATGCATCATATGTCGACTTTGAGGGCTATATAATTGTTCTGCAATTAGAACTTGTGCTCCCCATTGTTGTAATAAATCTCTCCCACATAAATTTATAGGTACAGAAGTTATAATTGGTTGAATAGTCGCAGGTTGTCCATCGGGTCCTTTACAATGCAAAATATAACTACTTTGATATACTTCAGGGGCTTTACCAACTTCAACTATGTTAAATTGAGTGGGTTGAATTGGCCACATGGACGGCCAGTGCTGTAGAGAGACAATTGAAATGTCCGCTCCTGTATCTACCAAACCTTTAAACTTCCTTCCCTGAATAGTTATTTCACAGGTAGGACGTTTATCAGTAATTCGATTTACCCAACAAGCTGCTTTGCCATGTTTATTTGTGCTTCCAAATCCTCCTATTCATTTAATTTCACTTCTCCCCATTCCCACATACGGCACAATCAGGAGCTGTGCTATGCACTCTCCTGGCTCTGCTCTCCAGGGAACAGAAGTAGATATAATAATTTGAATTTCCCCATTGTAATCTAAATCAATGACTCCTGTATGTATTCCTACCCATTTTAAACTTAAACTAGACCTTCCTAGAAGTAATCCTATTGTCCCCGCTGGCAAGGGTCCACAGACTCCTGTTGGGGCCTTTTGCGGGGGTTCCCCAGGCAGAAGGCTCACAGCTTTTGTGCAGCATAAATCTACTATGGCACTACTGGCTGTGGTGGGGGACAGACATTGTACAGGGGTGAGGGAATGGCCTGAGCTGGAAATGCCCTGGTTTAGAATGGGGCCTGGGATGGGCCCCTCATGGCATTTCCCGAAATTGCGTTCCCTTCTTTATCAAACTTAGAGTGACACTGATTAGCCCAGTGTTTTCCTTTTTTACATTTTGGACATAGTTCAGACTCAGCAGTTTTCTTTTTTCCCCTATTTGGCAACTTGACTCGCTGATTTTTTCTACATTCTTTTTTAGTATGAATAGCTTGTTTAAATTCTTTGAGTAATTTAAAAGGAAAATGCTCAAATGTAGCTATAATATTTGCCTGTTGATCTAGGGGGTGTATTCTAACAGGGAACTGCCAAGCCTCTAAATCACCCTCTCATCTAGCTTGCTGAATTCCTGCCTGAATAGAAGTAAGAGCAGTGGCTTGAGGCACTGCTTGAACAGTTACTGAGGCAACTACTTTTTGCCCAGTGTCCTCTGGAAAAGAAAGATCTGGAGGGTCAGGCCACCCTTTTTCTTCAAAATAATAAGGAGGGGGTGCAGAAAGGTAGGGAAGAACCTCTCCCTCCTTTGCCACTTTAGCTTAAGCTGGCAAATAAACCTTCTCTGTAACCTCTTCTGTTACTTCATTATACTCTCCTTCCTCCTCATCTTCTGTGTGAAAAAGTTCCAAGGTGGAACGAACCACAGCCCACACTTGTCCCATTGTTACCCTGATGCTTCTGAGCTCCCCTTCTTACTCACCATGGGGATTGCTTTAAGAGTATTCAGGTGTCCTCCAGCTAGTTCCACGTTCTCCAACCGCTGCTCCGGTGACCCTTCGACCTGGATCTGAGCCCCCAAGATGGACGCCACTTGCCGAGACCAGCTCTGTTGGGGAGACCCTAACCCAGCAGTGCTAGAGGAATTAAAGACATACACAGAGAAATATAGAAGTGTGAAGTGGGAAATCAGGGGTTTCACAGCCTTCAGACCTGACAGCCCCAAACAGAGAATTACCCACGTATTTATTAACAGCAAGCCAGTCATTAGCATTGTTTCTATAGCTATTAAATTAACTAAAAGTATCCCTTATGGGAAATGAAGGGATGGGCTGAATTAAAGGAATAGGTTGGGCTAGTTAACTACAGCAGGAGCATGTCCTTAAGGCACAGATCACTCATGCTATTGATTGTGGCTTAAAAATGCCTTTAAGTGGTTTTCCGCCCTGGGCAGGCCAGGTGTTCCTTGCACTCATTCCAGTAAACCCACAACCTTCCAGTGTGGGTGTTATGGCCATCATGAACATGTCACAGTGCTGCAGAGATTTTGTTTATGGCCAGTTTTGGGGCCAGTTTATGGCCAGATTTTGGGGGGCCTATTCCCAACTTAGCATCTACTTGTGAAGGATTTTGAATGCCAGGATGAGATAGAATTTTTTTTTTCTGTATGAGATCAAACAATGGTTTTGGTCCATTTTCTTTCTTGGTTTTTTGAAAATTTATTACCACTATATTTTTATTATTAAAACTTAAGGTCTTGATCTTTTTTAGCTCCCTTTGTACAAGGCCAGGAGAGATATATGGAATGTCACTAAGAGTGAAGTTTTCACGACCAAATCCAGCAATCGAAATGATATCACTTCCTCAATTAACAGCCGTTAATGGTTCAAAGCTTTAGTTTTCTTGATTACCTGGACTTTGATATACATCATTTCAGCAGAATTTGCTTTTTGGCTTCAATACTTACTTTTTCCAGCACAATTCTCTTTGCATGAAAATTTTTTTCAAAGAGAACTAATTGCAAAGAATTGAACTTTATGGCTGTGCTTAACTGGGCTTTCTTACGTTGTTTATCATTGTACCCCTTGGTGGCTACCAAGCAATCCTGCAGTGTAAAGCGCTTCACATCTTCCTGGACTAATTCTTTAAACTGGAAGCTATAATACCACCTCTTAGCCTCTGGCCTCTCACCACTATCCCACAGATACCTCTTGGGTATTGCTCTTCTGCCTTTTCTTAAGAGAATAAGGTGTCATGCCAACTTTTAAGGGGCAACCCAATTTGATCTTGATTTCTTCCATAATTTACCTTGGGCTGTCTCACAAGGGCAGCCCATTAGCTGTGGGCCTCAGATTCTAGGACTTGGGAAAGGCCAGGACTACAGTAGCTCAAGTGATACAGACTGCCTACCATGAAGGCCCCTTTCTCACTGGTTGGCCAATGTCTTTCTATTTTTATGAATTACCATTTCATATCTGTGGCATCCAGCCTCCACAATGGCCTCCAGTGGTCCCTGACTTCTGGTACTCATGTCCTTGTGTAGTCCCTTTCCACCTCACATCTCTGTGACCCATAGAATATTACAGAAGTAACAATGGCTTCTGACTTGCTCTTGCTCTCTTGGATTCCTCACTCTCAGTGAAGGCAGCTGTCATTCTGTGAGAACTCTCAAGCAGCACCAGTTCAAGAGGCCCATGTTGCTAAGAACCAAGGCATCTTGCTAGTGAGCAGCTGAAGCCTCCTATCAAAGCCATGTGAATGAGCCACCTTAGAAGTGGATCGTCCAACCCCAGCCAAGCCTCAGCTGACAGTGGTCCTGACTGACATCTTAACTTCAACTTCAGAAGAGACTCTGGGCCAAAACCACCCAGTTAAACCACTTCCTAATTTCTGACCCACAGAAACTGTGATATAACAAATGTTTGCTGTTTTAAGCCACTAATTTTGAGGATAATTTGTTATGCATCAATGGATAACTGACACAATATCACTTTGCCCATTTATAAATTATTTTTAAGTGATTTATAAGAGCCTTTTATATGTTAAAGATATTAATTAATAATCCTTTGTCTGTTATAAAAGTCTAATCTATTTCTGTTTATTGCCTTTATTATAGTAATACAAAAAAGTGTTATATATATTCAAATATATTATTCATTTCCATTTTCATTTTGCCTTATGTGTCATATTTAGACATTTTTAACCTACTACAATATTCTCAATAAATATTTACCTATATTTTCTTTTGTTAACTTTTTCTTTAAAGTCCCAACATTTAAATCATCTGGAATTTATTTGGGGTTTGGTATGTGATGAAAAACTAACTTTTCTTTTTCTTTTTTTTGTGTTTTCACCAACTTTATAGCCAGTTGTTAAGGCATAATTCTGCATGATTAAAATATCCTGATACTTCCAAATTTTCTTGATCAGTTTTTCAAATACCTCATGATAACATATAAGCTAAGCAAGATGTAAAGTTTCCCCTGGATTTCCTCAAAACCCACAATGTGATACCACCTTACTCCTGCAACAGTGGCCATAATCAAAAAATCAAAAAACAGTAGACGTTGGCATGGATGTGGTGAACAGGGAACACTTCTACACTGCTGGTGGGAATGTAAATTAGTACAGCCACTATGGAAAACAGTGTGGAGATTCCTTAAAGAACTAAAAGTAGAACTACCATTTGATCCAGCAATCCCACTACTGGATATCTACCCGGAGGAAAAGTATCATTATACGAAAAAGATATTTGCACATGCATGTTTATAGCAGCACAGTTCGCAACTGCAAAATTGTGGAATCAACCTAAATGCCCAACAATCAATGAGTGGATAAAGAAACTGTGTTATATTTATACAATGGAATACTACTCCGCCATAAAAAGGAATGAATTCGTGGCATTTGCAGTGATCTAGATGACATTGGAGACTATTATTCTAAGTGAAGTAACTCAGGAATGGAAAACCAAACATTGTATGTTCTCACTGATATATGGGAGCTAAGCTATGAGGATGCAAAGGCTTAAGAATGATACAATGGACTTTGGCGACTTGGGGAGAAGGGTGGGAGGGGGCGAGGGATAAAAGACTACAAATAGGGTGCGCCAAAATCTCACAAATCACCACTAGAGAACTTACTCATATAACCAAATACCATCTGTACCCTAGTAACTTATGGAAAAGTGAAAAAATAAAATAAAATAAAATTACCCCTGGATTTTCCGTCTCAAGACTATGGTCTTCGGTATAGGTAAGAACATTAGTACCTTGGTCAGGCATGGGCACAACTATCAATTGGAGAAAACTGTATGTGGAGTCCCATCTCTACATTTCATTCCACTCCCAGAGTTTGGCATTTAATCTTCCCTCCTGTCTCCCTATTTCCCCATGGCTTTCCAGATGCCTCCTCCCATATCACACTCTGAGAAATAGACTTTCATTAGAAAAAGGAAGAGCAATTTTATTTTCTCAGAATCCTGTGAGATGGCCAGTGAGCTAATCAATAAACCAATTCAAGATAAAATGTCAATGGTTGAGAATGATCTAATCTCCTTCCCCACATTTCAAAGCACTCCTAGGATAACAGTTATGCCCCAATTCAAAGAAGATTTCATGTTAAGAGGTTTGAGTGGTAAGACCTTCTTGGCCGTCAACTAATATAGGGCTGGTGCCAGACCCATCTATGTATAATCACAACCAGACACCATTACCTAAAAGTGTCTGAATTGTTGGCATGACAATGCAGAAAAGGCACGTATTAGCTAAGAACACTGAATCTAGATTTATACAATAATGTCATTCATGCGACATGCTACATTTAGCAAGTTTATAACATAATCTCTGAAAACTTCAGTTCTTCCACAAGCAATAAACATAAGAGATAATAAAACTCATTTCTAAAGGTGTTATATGAATTAAATGAGATTGTGTATTTTTTAAAAAGCACATAGCCTCATAGCTGGCATATTGTAAGTGCTCATAGACAATAACAATAGCTGGCTTTTTTAATTATTGTTTGTTTTGGAGACAGGGTCTTGCTCTGTCACTATCACCAGGCTGGACTGCAATGGCATGATGTCAGCTCACTGCAACCTCTGTCTCCCAGACTCAAGCAATCCTCCCACCTCAGCCTCCCAAGTAGCTGGGACTACAGGCGCATGCCACCACACCTGGCTAATTTCTGTATTTTTCATGGGGGCAGCATTTTGTCATGTTGGCCAGGCTGGTCTAGAACTCCTGGGCTCAAGTGATCTGCCTTCCTTAGCCTCCCAAAGTGCTGGGATTACAGGCATGAGCCACTGCGCCTGGCTTGGTTTGAGATTTTTAATTCTTAAAATCCATGGACTTGAATGCTATTGTTTATGTGGATAAACAAAGTCCACAGGGTTCCATAATACCCCTAATCATAACCAACTTTAATAGAGTGAGAGACCCAGTAAGGATAGCTGATTAAGCATAAGAAGTAAGCGATACCTTTAACATTGATTCAGAAAAAAAAAATATGCAGGTTGTTTTCAGCAGAAATTAAATTATGAGTGAAAACTCTTTTAAACTGCATCTTTTAAAAAAAATTATGCTTACTCTTTTGTATTTAAAAATAAATTGCAATTTCAAGATGCATTATCATATTTACCTTTCATCTTCTTAAAATGTAAAAATTATAAATGTATGTGTTATATTTTCATATCACTTCCTGAGTGGCTTAAATTTGTGGACTACAGTTACAGAAGTTATGCTGTTATTTAGGAGTTTTTCTCTTCTTTCTTGTGTGTCTTCCTCAACTCATCACAGAGAGAATAGAGTCATTCTGATGCTATCCTCCAGCTCTCATTTACCAGTCTGTTCCCTTACCAGCAAAAGCAAGGTAGCTTTCTGTTCTTATTCACTTCTTAAATCACTAAGAGGGAGAAAGAAAGAGAATAGAAGAAAAGATTATAAGAAAATATACAGAAATTTTAACAGAATTTCACTCTGGGCAGTAGAATTATAATTTTTTTTTTTTATGATACTTTCCCAAATTTTTCAAATAAACTATAATGAGCATGCATTACTTTTAGAGTCAGAGGAAATAATCTTTAAAGATATATAGGTATCTTCAGGTAATAAAGAAGAGAAACTGTTCTTTTTAATAGCCATGTAATCTCATAAACATTTTCAAATGGCCCTCAGACTATCCTGATAAAAGTGAAGAAACAGTTCAATAGAGCTTGAGGTCAAGTAACACTGTAGAGTAAGCCTGGGAAGTGTAGATGAGGTATTTATTTATATCCCACTTCATTTCAAGATGATGTGAGGCAGCTTCCATTTTTAAAAGACAAATGATTACATATCACTCTCTTCTCCACCCATTTTCTAAGTTGGTTGGGTCCCTGGAAGGGGGAAGACACTTTGATTCCAAAGATGAGCTGGGGTGTAAAAGCCAAACACAAAGAAGTGCTGAGTGTTCTGCATGGTACAGGTTGGGAAGGGTAGAATTCTATGTGGGGGTGGGAGCAAGGTGAAAGGAACTGGAATTGACCTAGACATGGGGCTTTGCCATGGGAAAGCATTGAGAACAATTCCTCATGCTGCAGGTTCAGTGGAAAAGAAGGAATCTTGAAAGCAGATAGTTTGGATGAGAAGTGTCAGCAGGTTGCTGTGCAATGTGCAATGTAACCTCCCTCCTCTGTCCCTTCCATATCATCTTTAGTGAAATCTTCATTGTTTACTAATCTTTTGGTGAACGGCTTCTTTCTAGAGAATGTGAAGAGATTTTTTGTTCTCTATCAGTGTTAGTATGGGGTGAAAACATACTGTATATGATAATAAATTATCGATATACATGCACTTTTAAGAGAGTTTTTAGCATGAAGGGCTGTTGAATTTGTTGAAGGTCTTTTCTGCATCTATTAAGATAATCATGTGGTTTTTGTCATTGATTCTGTTTATATGATGGATTACGTTTATTGATTTGCATATGTTGAACCAGTCTTGCATCCCAGGGATGAAGCCAACTTGATCATGGTGGATAAGCTTTTTGATGTGCTGCTGGATTCGGTTTGCCAATATTTTAGGATTTTTGCATTGATGTTCATCAGGGATATTGGTCTAAAATTCTCTTTTTTTTGTTGTGTCTCTGCCAGGCTTTGGTATCAGGATGATGTTGGCTTCATAAAATGAATTAGGGAGGATTCCCTCTTTTTCTATTGATTGGAATAGCTTCAGAAGGAATGGTACCAGCTCCTCTTTGTACCTCTGGTAGAATTTGGCTGTGAATCTGTCTGGTCCTGGACTTTTTTTGGTTGGTAGGCTATGATTTATTGCTTCAATTTCAGAACCTGTTATTGGTCTATTCAGGGATTCAACATCATCCTGGTTTAGTCTTGGGAGGGTGTATGTGTCCAGGAATTTATCCATTTCTTCTAGATTTTCTAGTTTATTTGTGTAGAGGTGCTTATAGTATTCTCTGATGGTAGTTTGTGTTTCTGTGGGATTGGTGGTGATATCCCCTTTATCAATTTTTATTGCATCTGTTTGATTCTTCTCTCTTTTCTTCATTATTAGTCTTGTTAGTGGTCTATCAATTGTATTGATCTTTTCAAAAAACCAGCTCCTGGATACATTGATGTTTTGAAGGGTTTTCTGTGTCTCTATCTCCTTCAATTGTGCTCTGATCTTAGTTATTTCTTGCCTTCTGCTAGCATTTGAATGTGTTTGCTCTTGCTTTTCTAGTTTTTTTTATTGTGATGTTAGGGTGTCGATTTTAGATCTTTTCCTGGTTTCTCTTGTGGGCATTTAGTGCTATAAATTTCCCTCTACACACTACTTTAAATGTGTCCCAGAGATTCTGGTATGTTGTGTCTTTGTTCTCATTGGTTTCCAAGAACATCTTTATTTCTGCCTTCATTTCGTTATGTACCCAGTAGTCATTCAGGAGCAGGTTGTTCGGTTTCCATGTAGTTGAGCAGTTTTGGGTGAGTTTCTTAATCCTGAGTTCTAATCTGATTGCACTGTGATCTGAGAGAGAGTTTGTTATAATTTCTGTTCTTTTACATTTGCTGAGGACTGCTTTACTTCCAACTATGTGGTCAGTTTTGGAATAAGTGTGGTGTGGTGCTGAGGAGAATGTATATTCTGTTAATTTGGGGCGGAGAGTTCTGTAGATGTCTATTAGGTCCTCTTGGTGCAGAGCTGAGTTCAATTCCTGGATATCCTTGTTAACTTTCTATCTCATTGATCTGTCTAATGTTGACAGTGGGCTATTAAAGTCTCCCATTATTATTGTGTGGGAGTCTAAGTCTCTTTGTAGGTCTCTAAGGACTTGCTTTATGAATCTGGGAGCTCCTGTATTGGGTGCATATATATTTAGGATAGTTAGCTCTTCTTGTTGAATTGATCCCTTTACCATTATGTAATGGCCTCCTTTGTCTCTTTTGATCTCGGTTGGTTTAAAGTCTGTTTTATCAGAGACTAGGATTGCAATCCTTGCTTTTTTTTTTTGTTTTCCATTTGCTTGGTAGATCTTCCTCCGTCCCTTTATTTTGAGCCTATGTGTGTCATTGCACATGAGATGGGTCTCCTGAATACAGCACACTGATGGGTCTTGACTCTTTATCCAATTTGCCATCTGTGTCTTTTAATTGGAGCATTTAGCCCATTTACATTTAAGGTTAATATTGTTATGTGTGAATTTGATCCTGTCATGATGTTAGCTGGTTATTTTGCTCATTAGTTGATCCAGTTTCTTCCTAGCATTGATGGTCTTTACAATTTGGCATGCTTTTGCAGTGGCTGGTACAGGTTTTTCCTTTCCATGTTTAGTGCTTCCTTCAGGAGCACTTGTGAGGCTGGCCTGGTGGTGACGAAATCTCTCAGCATTTGTTTCTCTGTAAAGTATTTTATTTCTCCTTCACTTATGAAGCTTAGTTTGGCTGGATATGAAATTCTGGGTTGAAAATTCTTTTCTTTAAGAATGTTGAATATTGGCCTCCACTCTCTTCTAGCTTGTAGAGTTTCTGCTGAGAGATCCGCTGTTAGTCTGATGGGCTTCCGTTGGTTGGTAACCTGACCTTTCTCTCTGGCTGCCCTTAACATTTTTTCCTTCATTTCAACTTTGGTGAATCTGACAATTATGTGTCTTGGAGTTGCTCTTCTTGAGGAGCATCTTTGTGGCATTATCTGTATTTCCTGAATTTGAATGTTGGCCTGCCTCGCTAGGTTGGGGAAGTTCTCCTGGATAATATCCTGAAGTGTGTTTTCCAACTTGGTTCCATTCTCCCTGTCACTTTCAGGTACACCAATCAGATGTAGATTTGGTCTTTTCACATAGCCCCATATTTCTTGGAGGCTTTGTTCGTTTCTTTTCATTCTTTTTTCTCTAAACTTCTCTTCTCGCTTCATTTCATTCATTTGATCTTCAATACCCTTTCTTCCACTTGATCAAATTGGCTACTGAAGCTTGTACATGCATCACATAGTTCTTGTGCCATGGTTTTCAGCTCCATCAGGTCATTTGAGGACTTCTCTACACTGTTTATTCTAGTTAGCCATTCATCTAGTCTTTTTTCAAGGTTTTAACTTCTTTGCGATGTGTTTGAACATCCTCCTTTAGCTCGGAGAAGTTTGTTATGTCCGATCATCTGAAGCTGTCTTCTCTCAACTCGTCAAAGGCGTTCTCTGTCCAACTTGTTCCACTGCTGGTGAGGAGCTGCGTTCCTTTGAAGGAGAAGGGGTACTCTGATTTTTAGAATTTTCAGCTTTTCGGCTCTGCTTTTCCCCATCTTTGTGGTTTTATCTACCTTTGGTCTTTGATGATGGTGACTTACAGATGAGGTTTTGATGTGAATGTCCTTTCTGGTTGTTAGTTTTCCTTCTAACAGTCAGGACCCTCAGCTGAAGGTCTGTTGGAGTTTGCTGGATGTCCACTCCCAACCCTGTTTGCCTGGGTATCACCAGCAGAGGCTGCAGAAAAGCAAATATTGCAGAATGGCAGATGTTGCTGCCTGATCCTTCCTCTGGAAGCTTCATCTCAGAGGGGCACCCAGCTGTATGAGGTGTCAGTTGGCCCCTACTGGGAGATGTCTCCTAGTTAGGCTACTTGGGGTTTAGGGACCCACTTGAGGAGGCAGTCTGTCCATTCTCAGATCTCAAACTCCATGCTGGGAGAACCACTACTCTCTTCCAAGCTGTCAGACAGGGATGTTTAAGTCTGCAGAAGTTTCTGCTGCCTTTTGTTCAGCTATGCCCTGCCCCCAGAGGTGGAGTCTACAGAGGCAGAAGGCCCCCTTGAGCTGCGGTGGGCTCCACCCAGTTTGAGCTTCCTGGCTGCTTTGTTTACCTACTCAAGCCTCAGCAATGGGGGTCGCCCCTCCCCCAGCCTTGCTGCCACTTTGCAGTTCAATCTCAGACTGCTCTGCTAGCAGTGAGTGAGGCTCCGTGGGCATGGGACCCTCCGAGCCATGCACGGGATATAATCTCCTGGTGTGCCATTTGCTAAGGCCATTGGAAAAGTGCAGTATTAGAGTGGGAGTGTCCCGATTTTCCAGGTACTGTCTGTCACGGCTTCCCTTTGCTGGGAAAGGAAATTCCCCTACCCCTCATGCTTCCCAGGTGAGGCAATGTCCCGACCTGCTCCATGGGCTGCACTCACTGTCTGACAAGCCCCAGTGAGATGAACCTGGTACCTCAGTTGGAAATGCAGAAATCACCCATTTTCTGCATTGCTCACGCTGGGAGCTGCAGACTGGAGCTCTTTGTATTCGGCCCTCTTGGAACCTACCCCCACAAAGGCATATCTTATATGGTGACAGGCAAGAGAGCATGTGCAGGGAACTGCCCCTTTATAAAACTATCAGATCTCGTGAGACTTGTCCATTATCATGAGAACAGCAGGGGAAAAACCTGCCCCCATGATTCAATTCCTCCCACCAGGTCCCTCCCACAACACGTGGGGATTATGGGAGCTACAATTCAAGATGAAATTTGGGTGGGGACACAGTCAAACCATATCAAATGATCTAGTTTCTCAGGCATCAGTTCATATGTCCTCTCTCCCAGGAGGCTTTCTATGACCGTCCTAATAGGAAGCAATTTTTGCTCATTTATGGAGAGCTCCAGTGTCAGCTTTTCCTTCTTTTTAAAATAATCCGTATTCTTGCTCTATTGGAAAAGGGGGGATTTTGTTATAATATACTCGTTCCAGTAATGGCCAGTCCTCTGAGTCATGGGATTGGCACTATCACTCTCTGCTTCCTATGGGCTACTCCTCCCTATGATACCATGGGGTTGGGGCTAGGGTGAGGCAACTAGGGAGAAAAGTGCAAAGAGGCTTTTGTTCTGAGGGCTGTGTAAGTGCATTGTTGGTGTGTACTAGTCCCAGCCTTGGCTGCATGCCATAGCCTGGAATTTATTAACTTTAGTCTCCATGATCGGGTGAATGAAGGTGAAATTTGGTCTACACCACCTTGGTGGTAGCATACCACAGTGATTAAGAGCATAAACGCTGTAGCTGGACATGTCACCTAATCTTTTTGTATGCCTGTTTCCTCGTTTGTAAAATGAGGATGCTGCTGCTGAAAATATAGCCTACCTTGTAGAGTTGTTCTGAGCTACTACAGGTAAAGGACACAAAGCAGCCCTGGCACATAGTACATACTCAAAAAAGTATGGTTTTTCTTCTTACTGTTACTTCTAGTTCCAGTCTCTCATACCTCCACAGCACCACCACCTTACGTTGTAGAAATGCGTTAAAGTTTATGAGAAGGTTGGAGAAAGTTAAGTGGAATTTTAAAAGGCAGAGGATTTAGAAATGTTAACTAAAACTCGATTTCCCCAAGACCCCATGGAAAAGTCCTCCAGAAGTTAAGGCCTACCAGAAAATGATTCACTTCCTAACCTTCCTTTTTCTCCTAGGGGTTTCATTCTCTCTTGAAATACCTTTGTTTTAAGTTCTCTATTTTTTGGATCTCCTTCCAACATCTATTTTGCAGACAACCTCATTCTGTCTGAGTAAAAGTCTTGACCCTGAATTCATCCCATTTCCCTAACTGGGACCATCAGCAGGACAGTCCAGGATGGACACTGTCAGCCAATGAGCAGTCTTCTACAAAGTCTTACCAAATATGCCTCTCTAAGGGGTATTTGTTGGTTGTTCCTTGTACACACCCACACCCTATCTCTCACCTCCTCTCCTTTTCTCCCACAAACACTACCTGATTTCCTGTTTGGGGAGTCACTCTCTCCCTATGCTGGGCCATGAGATTGGGGTACGATTCTCCTCTCCCTAGTTCCAGGGGTGAACTTAAGCCAATAAATATATTCTGTACCCCTGGTTCTGATGATTGGTTCAGGGTATAGCCCAACATAGCCAATAACAAACAACGAAACAAGAAGAGACATTTGCTGGGGCTTCTGGCAATGCCAGGCTGAAGTAGCTTTTTGTCTCCATCTTTCTCCTTCAATGGACCTGTATAAGGAAGAATATAGTCTTGGAACACACACACACACACACACACACACACACACAGAAAGAGAGAGAGAGAGAGTGAGCAGAAGAGGAAATCTTGGATTCTAGCTGTGCCTGAACTTTCTTCCATTGTTCAGTTATATGAGACAATATATTTTATCTTTTAAGCCAGCCTGAATTGAGTTTCTGTTGCTATGACACAGTTACCAAATTGAGAGTGTCTTTGTTTTCTGAGTCCAACAGGGATCTGAAGGGCCAGAATCTCAGTCTCTCTGTCTTTCTCTCCCACCAAATACACACAATCCTTAAGAGAAAATATTAATTCTTAGATGCTTTGAAGTCACTACCATTTATAAGAAGGAAGAAAACATTTTTCCAAGTGCAGCATAGTCTATAAGGCATTGTTGCCCACAGAAATGTTAGTCTCTCCACACTGTTATTCACAGCTGTTTTAGCACATTATGTTCGTCCTCACCTCAACTCTTAATTTGTGCACTTTAGACTTAACTGGATTAAGAAATGGA